>NC_000006.12:162949577-163101093 GCF_000001405.40 Homo sapiens | reverse complement strand
GATTTTTAATTTCATTGTATGACCGCCTCAAAATGAATATAAATATGCTCACTAAAGCTCATATTAAAGTACTGTACTTAAGAGCAAAAAAAGTAAATTGATCTTCGAGGGCTCTGAACAGAACTTGGTCATAATTACGTTGCCATCTTTACCTTTCTTCTTTATTACTTGGAACATTAATTCAAGATGTACATGAGAATATAATACAGAAAGCAGGCAAGCAAGAAAATATCAATAATATTTGCAGTTTTTCTAGAGAATATGTCCATTGCATTTTTCAACTCCACATTTATTGATGGTTAAGCTTCTTCTGAGCCATTTATATTCCATTCTGTCAAAGTAAAAATTACAGATTTTTAAGAAAGGCAATAAAATGGAAAGCTGATTTCATACTAAGAGGAACATTTCTCCAACAGTTTCCTATTTGGAGAAAGCAAACCACAGGTGTGGCAGGGAGCTGACACGAGGGTCCCTCGACCTGGGTGAGCTGTGGGCCCAGGCAGGTGTGGGGGCCACCGCCAGCAGAACTGCTTAAAGAGTCGCGGGGAACTGGCCACGCGCTGGGGGGACAGCGGGACGTGCCTTGGTGTCCTTGGAGGGCGCGGTGGCTGTGCTCTGCTCCTGACCTGGCAGCTGGAACCCTCTCGAGCAGCCTGAAGGTGTCCCCAGGGGCTGGCCGCGCGACGCCTGGGCCTTCCCTGCGGTGCAGAATGGAAAGGCCGAGGCAGCAGGGCTGGAGTCCGGGCAGCACGCCGGGCGATCAGTGCACGGCATGGGAGTGGGTTTCTCACGGTGAGCGTGCACGGGTGGGGGCATTTTTGACCCTGCGTGATGGGAATCTAGAAGGGCCCAGGGATCCCAGCACGAGAGGCTGAGGCGAATGCAGCTGCAGGGCCGTGGAGGCTGGACACAGGTCCCTGCAGGGGAGGCCGTGGTGGGTTCGGGCCGAGCCGTAGCCGCCTCCACCTGGCTGTCCTCGGCTCCTGGGGCAGCCCAGGAGTCCAGGCAGCCACGGCTCCTGTGTCACTCCCGCCCTCCTGACCTCAGCGGCGGGGAATTCCTACACAGAGGCAGGGAGAGGCGAGGCGACACAGCCCGTCCCTCTGCGAGCTCCTAGCCCGGAGCCCGTCCGCGCTGGGCGGGGAGAGAAGGTCTGAGAGTGAAGCAAGCTGAGCGTTCCCATCAGTCTCTAGAAGAGCACGTGCGACTCAAGGAGCCTGGGAACTCAGGGGAGGGCAGAACAATTTACTCACCCTCACTACCCACCCCTGCGAGGGGTTCCGCAGTGGCACGGAAAGGCTCCTCCATCCAGTCAAGCTTAGCTTTTGTCTCTCACCCCCTTTAAACGGACCTTTTAACGATGGCATGAATAGTGGTATTCAGCATAACAATTACACTTGGTGACATTCTTACTTTCTCTGCAATGTCCACAAAGAGACCTTTAAAAAGTCATTAGTTGGTGCTCATGGAAGATTTGCATATAAAGGAAAATCAGAATGAACTCTCAATTATCAGCAAATCCAGAATAGGTGATATTTTAGGGGACTTAAAAACTACAAATTATGAGCTGACTGAATAGAGAAGCCTCCTTAAATTAAAGCTTTAGAAATTGCTATTTGCTTTCTTGCTCAGATTAAGTAAAACTTTCTGTTGCATAAATAGAAAAGAACGCTATTTTCTCTTGGGCGAATATGTGCATGCCTGCTCACTTGGGGCCCATTTTGAGCGTTTAAATACATTAAAGCATATTATACAGATTTCTCTAGGCAGATCTGTAAGGCCTTAGCTGAATTGGTCGCAATCTCTGATTGGGAAATGTGCCAGTTCCCAGCTAGCAGGAGGGATGTCACTGGCCAAGCACTGGAAACCAGCCACAACCCAGTCATTTTGTCTGTGGATCCCTGTTGGGGTACCTCAGAGGGGTGGAGGGGTGACAAGGTATCAGAGGCGTTTAAACCAGAGCAAATCCATCTTAAATAGAAGCTGGGTAAAATGAAGCTGGGACCCACTGGGCTGCATCCCCAGACAGTGAAGGGATTCTGAGTCACAGGATGAAATAGGAGGTTGGCACAAGACACAGGTCAGAAAGACCTTGCTGATGAAATAGGTCGCAGTAAAGAAGCCGGCCCAAACCCATCAAAACCAAGATGGCGATGAGAGTGACCTCTGGTTGTCCTCACTGCTACACTCCCACCAGGGCCATGACAGTTTACAGATGCCACAGCAACATCAGGAAGTTACCCTATATGGTCTAAAAAGGGGAGATATGAATAATCCGCCCGTTGTTTAGCATATCTTCAAGAAATAACCATAAAAATGGGCAACCAGCAGCCCTTGGGGCTGCTCTGTCTATGGAGTAGCCATTCTTTTATTCCTTTACTTTCTTAATAAACTTGCTTTCACTTTACTTTATGGACTTGCCCTGAATTCTGTCTTGCGTGAGATCCAAGAATGCTCTCTTTGGATCTGGATCAGGACCCCTTTCCTGTAACAAAAGCACACATTCCAAACATGGCTTTGAAAACAGGTCCAGCCAAAAGCCAGTTGTCCCAACTGTCACCCGGCATCTGGGCTCTCCCGCCTGGTGAGGAGGGACACAAGAAATAGGACCTCTACCCAGCAAGGCAGATTGGGAATAATCGGAGGGACGAGCCCTCTGTTCTGCTAGTGGGGGCGGAGTCAGGGGAGGTTACTGAAAGGATGGGATGTCTGAGTGTGGATATGGAGGGAAGAGCAGAGATAACTCCCAGAGTCCCTGGAATGGCAGTAGGGTGTCTCGTAGGCTGAGAAGCAGGCTTCAGATCACATGGCCTGTTCCACACACAGGCAGGGGGCATGAGTGCCAGTTCCAGCTCCATCCTGAGCTGCTGTTTCCATACTGCAGTTCCTTTTGAGGACTGAACTCTGACCTTTTACTTCTCTTGCCCAAATTCCTATCTAAGGGACCTGGGGAGTCACACCCCACAAACCATAAAATCTCATCAGAGAGGTTTCATTTAACCCTATATAACGTGGCTTACTTTCCAGCCTGACTCTAGCATAACCTCACATGACAGACAAAGTAGAAAATCAAAATATTTCACCCCAAATATCTTTCTTTGCCATATTTTGAAATGGACTGAAAAGTCATTTTAGTGGGGAGAAAGTTGTGTCTATAAAGAATCTCTATTAACATAATAGATCTTTCCCCATTCCATACCCTCCCAGTCCTGAAGAGATTTACGGAGAGTCTACATCTGCCAACTTATTTTCTCTAAGGGTACCACCTATGAGACTTCATCTACATAATAAGAAACCTGGTTTCCACAGCCCCTTATCTTGACCCTGACACTCTTTTCTGTTGATTCCAGGTGTTTAGACAATAACTTAACTCTTTCAACCAATTGCCAATCAGGAACTCTTTGAACCCACTATGACCTGTAAACCACCGCCCTTCTGAACCAAACCAATGTATACCCCACACATATCGATTGATGTCTTATGTCTCCCTAAAAGATATAAAAACCAAGCTGTAACTCAACCACCTTAGGCACATGTTCTCAGGACCTCCTGAGACTGTGCCCTGGGTCATGGTCACCCATATTTGGCTCAGAATAAGCCTCTTTAAATATTTTACAGAGTGTGACTCTTTTTGTCGACACCTTTCATCACCGTTTCAGAAGCAATGAATGGGATTCTCTTACACAAGCCATTCTTGATATACCACATTTGCCACTGGTCCAGAAACAATGGGGATGTGCCTGGGTCATGAACCTATCTGCAACTCT
This sequence comes from Homo sapiens, assembly GCF_000001405.40. Lineage (NCBI taxonomy): Eukaryota > Metazoa > Chordata > Mammalia > Primates > Hominidae > Homo > Homo sapiens. Next base: position 163,097,326 of record NC_000006.12, on the reverse strand, counting down.
GTATCCTCCTGGCAGTCTGATCCCTTCAGGTAAAGTTGGATAAGTGGGGACAGTGGTAAAGCCAGATGCTGGTGAAATGGGGATGTCCAGAGGAAACTTGGCCACAACAACTTGGAAAGATTTATACAGAGAAACCACAAATATAAGGGCCAATCGAAAACAGAACACAGTGGAAAGAGGTTGGGATTTCACTAGTTCACTGGGGCAGGCCAGTGAACCTGCTGATGCAGCCCTATGCGTAGGTCACTACTCAGCCCTTCTTTGCAATGATGTGAGAGGGCCAAGGAAGGAACTAAACTGTCTTCGGGGGAAGGGAGAGCTGAGCAGTGAAAGTTTGTCTGGGTTGGAATATTTGCAATTAGGAATTAGTAGCATCTAGAAAATGAACTTTGCATTGCATTTCTGACTGCTGACATATGGGAAAGGTATTGATTCTTGAATATTTATTTCATATGTAATCATCTTAGATGTTAATTATGATATTAACTTAAAAAGATTTCACTTAATTTTCTTGGAAGGACCATATAAAGCCACATGTATTTGGTTCTCTCCATAAACCCTGTGCTGCAGGTAGGAGACATTTACCTAACACGCTAGTTTCAAAGCACTTACCCTCGATTCCACAATTCATTCCCCTCCTTCTCTCCAAGTAGAACTCCTGAAAAATGACCTTCTTATAGTTCTCTGCAAGTCAATGAGCTGCTTTAATCCTCCCAGTAACTTGGTTTTTAAATTATGGAGACTAAGGCACGGAGTTGTTACATGACCCGTCAAAAGCCACAGCCGGCAAACAGTTTGAACCCAGAAGAACTGCAGCCGGAGCCTTTGCGCCTCAGTGCTGTGCTCGGCAGCTGCATGCTTTGTCCCATTTCTTGTTTCTCCACAAATTATCCCATCTGCCCAAGCATCTTCCCCTGCTTGTCCACCAGGTGACCCACATTTATTGGTACAAACCCCTTTAGGCAGAGTGGCCTGAGCCTCCTGCCCAGCTGGTTTGGGCCGGGACAGGCCCAGGTGAACCAGCCTCACCGTGGCCAGGTCCCTCGAGACTGGGCTGGTGCGGCAGCACCCTGGGGTGCTGCTATGGGATCCCCAGGGCAGCATCCAGAGCTGTTGGAAGTGTGAGCTTCCATCTCTGGTTAGTTTGCAGCATTACCGAAGAAGAAGAGAAACATCAATTCCCTGCATCTCCCCTACTCAAAACTTATCCAGGCCCAGTTTCTTTCTTAACTAAACAAACCCTTCCTGCTGAAAGGAAAAGGCATGACATTTTTGTTGTTGAAAGAGGGAGTTTTCATTAGTCCGTGCAGAGCAGGCTCAGTAACACTAGTTACAGCAATGTGAAGGAGTGAAACGAACACAAAACCTCTACCTTTATTTATCAAAGATGAGATTTTCTCCCCACAGGCTGTAGGAAAGAGGTATATCATCTGGACTGGATTGAATAGTGTCTCCCCCAAATTCCTGTCTTTTCCAGAACTTTAGGATGTGGCCTTACTTGGAAATAGGGTCATTGCCAATGAAAGTAGTTAAGATAAAGTAATATTGGAGTATTGGAGTAGGGTGGGCCCTTAATCCAATCCTTATGAGGGCTGGTATTCTCATAGGAAGAGAAGAGACACAGACAGACGCACAGGAAAAAAGGCCACATGAAGATGGGGCGGGACTGGAGTGATGCGTCATCCACAAGCCAAGGAGCTCAAGGACGGCTGGCACCTCCGGAAGCTAGAAGCAGCAGGAAGGAGGCTTCCCCGGAGCCTGCAGTGAGAGCTGGCCCTGTCCACACCTTGATCTTTAACTCGTAGCCTCCAGAACTGGGAGACGATACATTTCTGTTGTTTAAGCCATTCTGTGTATGGTAATTTGTTACGTGGCTCCAGGAAGCTAAGACACAGCCTTCAGAGCTGGATTCTGATTTCTTTAGACATCGCCCTACCAGGTTACAGACAACTCAGAATAATCCTTCCCTCCGGGCAGGCGCAACCAGGGAGGTCTACAGAGAAGAGCACATAGAGACGTAATTTACAGTTTGTGACTGACCCCACTCCCCTGATGCTTTTTATAAGTGGATTTGGGTTGAAAATAGACTCAAATGTAGCAGTCTCAGTGAAGAGGAAAGGCATTTAACCTCATAAGCATGTGTAGGTTTCACCATGGTAAAGAGGTCTTTATGGGCTGACCACGCGTGGGGGCATCAGGTGAGGGAGGGAGGCCTGAGCCCTTCCCAGGACCATCTGCTGTCCTGGGCTGCCCTCTCACTTAGATCGCTGCACAACCATCTGTTTCTGTAGAAATGAGTCCTCCCTCCCCATCCTCAAAGATTTTCCAGGCTTTGGGAGCTCTGCTTATAGAGAATGCTTGGAAGAAGTAGGGATATTGCACTTGGAGAAGTGAATACCGAGGGGGAAGGAAAGTTTTCTATAATTTCCCGAGGGCTTGCTATATGTGGAAAAGGATTAACCATTGTGCTGTGTAGTTTAGATGAGAGAGGTGAACCAGATGGAAATGTTAGGTGTAAATTTCCTTTCAAAACAGGAGCTGCCTTTCTCTTTGGAAGTAGAACAGCTACCCCATGAAGTAGTGAGGCTGCTTGGACAAGACGGAATAAATAAGTACTGGTTGCGTAGGCTGAGTTAGTGAACTAATTTCACACAAGCACATATTAGGCACCTGATTCTACTAGGTGTGCCAAGCTCTATATAAGAAAAGGAAAGACCAACACAAACATTTTGCCTTCGTGGAAGTAATGGTTGATTAGTTTGGTAAATTGGAGATACTCTTAGACCAAAGGACCCCTACACGGATCTTCCAACTTTATAATCCCAGGATTCTCTGCAGACAAATGAGTTAAGTGTGCATGGAGGAAGTGCTCAGAGAGACTAGATATATGCATGACAATTCCAAATCTAACTTTCAGAAATGTGGGGGGCAGTAGTTCTAATAATTTCCTCAAGGAATTTAGGATAATCTCATGGTTCAAATTTAACACATTTAACCATTTCAAAGGGACTTCGAAGTAAATTTCTAAAATGTAAATCATGAACGCAGAATTGTTCAGAATTCCATGGGGGATGAACCTGAATTCCAAAATTAAATGTAAATCTCTGTGAGGAGAAATAACATTTACATACATCAACTTTGGGACAGAAAAACTGAAGGTTTTGTTGCTGCTGTTGTTGTTTGGTAATCCATTCCCAGAAGTTCATCAACGTTTGAAAAGAGCATGAGAATTGGTCCCAGAGAATTCACACGAATATCAAGGAGGGTTATCAAGGAGGGTTTGAATCAGGTTGACTTACAAGGCCTAGGTTCTCCTTAGAAGTTGTTTTAAAAGATGATCAACATAAAATAATTACTTCTATTTCTTAGAAGCCGTTTAAATTACAGGTCAAAGACCTGGTACAAACATCCTAAAATTTTGCAAACTTCAGGCATCCTCATTCCCCATATGTTTTAATGTGCCTGCATCTGAATTAAAATTTTAAGTCTCTTTAATGAACTTTTTATTAGTCTATAATGGTAAACATCTTAGATAAAGCCAAGCAATTTGATTCCTACAAACGTGGGGACAGGATATTTCATTATTATGTTTACTTTTGCATATTTCATGACATAAATTTACAACATTATCAGAGTCTCTGATATCTGGAGTCTGAAATCTTTTAGGTAGGGATTGTTTCAGAACTATTGGTACTGTTAGAAATGAACCAAAATATGGTAAACAGGCCTGTCGGAGAGCCCTAATCTGCTGGCGGAGCCCATATTCCAGCTGTAAAAGCTTTAATGCCATTTATTGGCTCATGCTCCTCAAATGTAATACTCTGCATCATTAATTTGGTAGTTTCATCTCTGAAAGCTATAAATTGAAGATTCCTATTGTTTTAATTTTCTGTAACCTTTAATAACATTTGTGAAAGAACATAGGAAAGAATAAATTGCTATTGGCTGTATGACAAATGCATCCAAGGAATATTTTGTAGGAACTCCCCTTTCTTTCCCCTCAAAGCAGTCACTGGAAAGACAGCATGTTTTACGTCCAAAATTCACTGTTTAGAATGCAGGCAAATAAGCTCAAAAGCTTAGACAGCAGTTTGGTTTTTTCAAAGAGGACCGTGGCCCAGGCTTTCCTTGTCTGTGCTGGAAAGAGGTTTCTCCTTTGTAAATACGATGCTCCCTAAACTCCAGTCACATATTCAAGCTGAGAGATTATGCCAGGAAAGGATGGATTTGAAAACCTGTTACCAGTGAATGAATCTGAGTCTTTCACTTATTTGGCCACTCGCCCTGCATTTGGCAATTAGAGCCAAAATGAACCATTTGAAGCAAAGGCACTGATGCAGCTGGTGAGACCGGGAGGCCACATGCCACTCACAGGCTCACAGAGGGCCAAGCGACAGGTCACCCAACGAGAGAGCGCTATGGGTCACACACAACACTTTCAGTTGCCTGGTTGTGTTGTTACATAATAATTCATAGAGCATGATATTCTTCTATAATATATACTATTGTATGTATATAATATTGGATATGTATATAATGTTGTGTAATCATAATGGCTCTCTCATTAATACCCGGTCATGGACAGGCTCCATGTGAAGGTGCCCTGAACACCTTGTCTCTAATTATGCCCACCCTAATGAAAAGTTGTTACGATGCATATCTTGTGTAGACAGAAAAATTGATGATTACAGACTTTAAGGGATTTGCCTGAGGTCACAGCTTTTCTGGCTCCAAAATGTTACTGTTTAGTCTACACTACCATTCACATCTCAGATTTATCTGTTCTTGTTTTAACTATAGCCTAATTAAACTCTGTGAAAAATATTATGAACACACAAGAGGATACAGCCACTTTCTCTGCTAGAACAAGAATGATCTAGTGGGGCTGGCTCTAAGTTTTCATTGCTCTGATCGTGTAGATGGGGCCTGAATTGGTGCTGTGAGCATGGACTGTTCCTCCCTCCCCTACTTGATTTCCAACTGGTCCTTGAAAAGACTGGAAGCCTGGGCTCCTCACATGGGCCACTGTCCCAATGTCTAGCTCCCTGGCTCTGCAACCCCCACTGCTTATTTCAGAGGAAGTTCATGTGACATTAAAACAGGAGACATTGTAAAAACTTCAGGCAGTAGAACTAATCTAATGTTTGCGCTTTGAGGGGATGCTGACAGACAGGTCATTTTATTTGAAAGAATATTTTCTCTCATTCTTTTTTGTCATTTGTATCTGGTCTCATTCTAAAAAGAATTTTGTAGTGGGACTTGAAAGAAATATTTTTGAATCTGAGTTTAACAAGACATTGATTTACATAAAAGAGAAATACAAAAAAAGAGGAATACGGAAATGTGCAATTGTTCTCAAATACATTGAAATTTAGGATGAGTTTTTTCTACTGCTACATACTGTCAATTTCTAATGTAATTTTAATTGTAAATAATTATATCTGTTACTAAGGACATCTGCTTAAATAAAATAAGTATATATAATTTTGTGATGTATATCATAAAGCAGGCTTTCTTAAAATGTTATTAAAGCTAAATCATTTTCCTAGTGAAAATTCTAATGTAATTGAAAATCCTGCGATAAGCTTTTTTTTCTGAAAGAATTGGATCTAGGGTAACATAGCTACTTTAAGGAACAGTTTTAAGTTTTTATAGCTAGAATGCTCCAATTTTGTAATAGGACCCTCTGAAAATACAGCAAACTGCAGGCTGGCATTGTTGTGACAGGTTTCTAAGATAAGTAGAAAATGAAGCGGAAGATAATATTTTTCCCTACAAATGTCAGAAAAATGTTAAGCAGAAAAATAATTTAAATGTAGAATTCCTGATGCATGCATTTAGAAAGACTCCAAAAGAATTAGCTGAGTTTGGAACCAATTAAGGACTCTCGTATGAACTTTAAATGTCCCACATTGATAAAATCTTACTAGGGATTTATTCTTAAAGTCAATAATTTTCTTTGTTAAGTGTATGAACACCTGTGAGTTAAAGGTTTAAAGAAAAACTATAATGAGAAAGCAGTAGAAACCAATTGTTTTGTTTAGTAGTCTAGAGCTCCCAACAAGATTTATCTGTCTTTGCGGCAGCAATATTTATCCATCTTTATAGATTTCCTTGAGGATAAAGAAAGATTCTAATTGTCCTTTGAACATCACTGATTTTCTACTTTTATACAGGGATACAGAATGATGCTTAGATATAAGTTCTAGCCTTTATTGTGTGACCAACAAAAGCATTAAAGCAGTGTTGCAGTAGCTACCTATTCCCAGATACTCAGGCAAGAAAGGAGAAATGTGTTCAGGCTCATCTTCCAGGATCATCAAGTACAGAATAACTGTTCACATGGGAGGAAAGCTACAAGAGGCAACTTCTGCAACAATTAAATGGAAATAGTAATAGTACATGCATCATAGGTTTGCATGAGGATTACTGAGGAAATATTAGTGAATCGCACACTTCAAAAATGTTAACTAAGACATTTGGGGGTGGCTGTTCCCTGATGCTTCCATCTCTTTAATAATGCTCTCATCTCTAGCAGAACATCTTTATCTCTATCTCCCTCAAGTTACTAGAATCTAAATATGAGGTATGCAGTTAGAGTTTCTTTTATCGACCTTAGTTGAAAAAGGTGCACATCGGGAGTCTCCCATAACTTCATGGATATTTGCTGCTACTATATGGTAAAAATATGAACTATGAATGAAGACTGTTTAAATAAGTATTTTCCAAATGTAGTAATATTGTTACTAAAACATTACATTTTAACAATAAGAGACTCAATTATTAAAACCCAGTTATTACTTTGCGTAAAGACTAACCATCTTGCCTGAATGTCCACCTTACCCACAGCTCTTCAGATAATTTGAACAGAATACCATTGCAAGCACTCCATTACAGGCATTTGTAAGCTCCTATAACTCCAGTTTGAAGTCCTTTTTCTAAATATGTATAGTATTTAACATATAAGCCGGTTCTACTACTGAAAGAGAGCTAAAAGCTTTTTGAGAATTCCATGATTTCCTGAATAGTCTATGCCTGGAGCAGACATAATAGCAATTGAGTAATAATATAAAAAATAGTGATTCCAAACAAAAGTCTGTTTGTGGCAGGAGCTGCTGTAAACTCAGCTTCTTGTTTGATTTTTTTTCTTGAATGTATGATGAGCAGATCATGTTGTAAAAGTTTCATTCAGTGCTCCATTAAATTACTAACTTATTGATACCACTATCAGGAAATAACTTCATGTTGACTTATAACATGCATGTGAGAAGTACGGAACTTCAAAATTAACAACAAAAAAGAAAATTAGACTCATCATTTCAATGAAATCACACGCTTAATGAATAGATTTACATCCACTGCCTGCCAAAGGTCACCAAAAACTTGCTAATATCTTTGTTAGGGTAAAATAGAGCCATATGAATTCATCTGTGTTTTCCAAAGCTTATAGAATAATACTACAAAAAATAAATGAATCATCAAAACCATTTACCAGATTTTAATAATAGTGCTTAAAAATTCATCTTAAACCAATGGAAAAAAGCTGACTGAAATTGTAACAGGAAGTATCTAAAGGTAGAATCACTATGAAGAAAAAGAACAAACTCAAAACCTACTAATGTATTCAAAAGACCATTAAAAAAACTTCAAATTTAATTATTGGAAGTTTATAGAACTGCTTCAGCACTTCTGTACTGAGTAAGTAAGCTGTACCTGAGGAGTAATAAATGAAATTGTTAACTTTACTGTTTCCCTAGGGAGTAGCTGGAGAAGGCGTGGGAATATGCTATTTAGATCTCCAAATGGATCATGGTTTATATGCAATAATAAATCCTAAACGTGTTGCTAATTAACTCTACTTCAAACCACTCCCTTTTTCTTTGGCTTAAAAGACATTTTGACTCGTGGGCTCACTCACCATTCATATTCTTAAAGATGTTCAGGACAGGGAGGATTTGACGGTAATAAGGCACCAAGGCCTTGCCCACCATCTCAGCTGACACAACCAGATGCTGGAGGACCTTGAGAGTGACACAGATGACCTGTCGGTTTCGGAGGTTCAAGGCATCTATATGGTAAAAGAAGGACCAAGCAGAAAATATTTTAATAGAAAGCATCAGGTCTACAAGGTTAAGGTAAAGTTGTCTTGTGGTTGCATTTAATTAAACTGTGCTCTACTGGGGACCAATGGGCCTTTATTATTATAGCTTTGGATGACACATTGCAACCCTAATGTTTTAAATGGAATCTTGTCTGATTACTGTTTATTCTCCCCATTGGCACTGATTTCTCACCAGCCCTAGGAATGCAGCTCATTTTCCCCTCGTAGAAGAGGCCGGGGCTCTGAGTTGGATAAGCAGTATGAAAGACAAAAGATCACTTAATGTTGCTGGAGTTAAAGGAACCCATGTGGGTTGACAACAGATACATTTTCATGCAACAATCTCTTTCATGCAACAATCCATACAATTCTTAAAACCATTAACATGGAACGAACATTTGGGAAGGAGGGTGAGGCATGGTGTTCAAATCTATAGGCTGGTTACAAACACCGAGAATATTCTTGGTAGAAGTGAACATAAAGTGACTACGTTTAGGCCCTCACAAAGTAGGAAAGAAAAGCAAAATTTTTTAAAGTTCAGTTAGAAGGAAACAACACATAAGCTATAAGAGACCACAGGAATATGACAGTTCTAAAGAAACAGTTCTGAGTGCAAAGTAACAAGCTGTACTGCAGAGACAGAGCAAGATGCCACCAGGGAGGGTCTGAAAGGCACCACTTGCCCCAGTGGGAAGTGCAGGGGGTCGGGAATCAGGATGCTGATAACTGGCTGTGCGAGGTTGGCCAACTTACTGGCACTTTCTTGGCCCCAGTTTCTTCAATCATGGGAGCCTGTTATGCACTTTCTAAGATGGCTAAAAGTACCATGGTTTAAGTAGAAGAGCCAGATAAAACATCTATTATAGAAGGTCAAAAGTGCAATTAATAAAATGTGATGCCTCAGATGACTCCAAGAAGAAGTCAAAGGCTCTTATTTGTAAGATGTTCTACCTTCTAATGAAAAAGATTGACTATGACCTTAAAGCAGATGCCACTGTGAAGGGACAAAAGGACCCAGGCTATAAAAAGAAATGATGCTTTGGTCAATACATCTCTGAGGCAGTCCTGACACTGTTCTTGAACTCCAGCTCACATTTCCATCAGCCTGGATCTTGCCAGAACCTCAAATTCAGTTTGTTCCAAAGACTAAATTTCCTCCCTGAACTTCTTTTTCTTCCCTATGTTCCTCATATTTAGTAAAGATAAACCTTGTTCCCAGTCACTCCAGGTCAAAGCCTGTTTCTCCTCCTTCGCATTCCTCATGTTACCAAATCATCTGGTTTTCCTTTTGCAGTATCTCTTGAATTTGTGTCTCCCTCTCCATCCTCACCAACACTCCTCTGGTCCTGGTCTCCATCCTCACCTCCTCTGCTCCGGTCCCAGTCTCCATCCTCACTGCCTCTCCTCTGGCCTCACTCTCCATCTTCACCTCCTCTCCTCTGGTCTCACTCTCCAACCTCACCTCCTCTCCTCCAGTGTCAGTCTCTATCCTCACCCTCTCTGCTCCAGTCCTGGTTTCCATCCTCACCTCCTCTCTTCTGGTCCTGGCCTCCATCCTCACCTCCTCTCCTCTGGTCTCACTCTCCATCCTCACCTCTTCTCCTCTGTTCCTGGTCTCCATCCTCACCTTCTCTCCCCTGGTCCTGGTCTCCATCCTCACCTCCTCTCCCCTGGTCCTGGTCTCCATCCTTACCTCCTCTCCTCTGGTCCTGGTTTCCATCCTCACCTCCTCTCCTCTGGTCCTGGTCTCCATCCTCACCTCCTCTCCTCTGGTCCTGGTTTCCATCTTCACCTTCTCTCTTTTCATCCTGGTCTTTATTTTCATCTTCTCTCTTCCAGTCCCAGTCTCCATTTTCACCATCTCTCTTCTGGTCCCTGTTTCCATCCTCACCTCCTCTTCTCTGGTCCTGGTCTTCATCCTCACCTCCTCTCCTCTGGTCCTGGTCTCCAGCCTCACCTCCTCTTCTCTGGTCCCAGTCTCCATCCTCATCTTCTCTCTCTGGTCTCACTCTCCATCCTCACCTTCTCTCCTCTAGGTATCCATTCTTATTGCTACTCCTCTGGTTCTGATCCTTGGGACCCATTCACTGGAGCACCAGCCTGCTCTTGTATGGATCTCTTTTCTTTCTGTCTTTCTCCACTTCCCCAACCTGTCTTTCAAGGTACCGCGGGGTTACCCTCCCTCAAGCTTATCTGATCATCTCACCACCTGCTAAAATTGCTCAGGGCCCCCTACCCGCTTCCATTGGCCTCAGAATTTGTGGGGTGCTCAGAAGTGTTTTTATACCACAGCCCCTAGTTTGTTGCTGAAAGGGATGAATCATACCCCACTTTATTTTTAAAAATTTTCTAGTGATTCCAGAGGAAATAGCTGCAAAACCACTAAATGATACCTTATTTTCCAAGACTTATAACTGAGGATTTGGTTTAGTTCAAACTTATCCTAAGTGCTTCCTTTATGCCTGGCTAGTTTGAACTAAACCGAATCCTCTGTTAAAAGTCCTAGAATATAAGATATCATTTAGTGGTTTCACAGCCATTTCCTCTGGAATCACTAGGAAGTTTTTTAAAAAAATGTGGTCAGATTCATCCCCCCTAGCAACGAACTAGGGTTTGTTGCATGAAAACACTTCAGAGCCCCCTACAACTTCTGGTCCAGTCCAGACTCTGTTCTTGTTTAGTTTGAAAGTAAATACAAATGTAATGAAAAGAGACGGCTCAGCCTTCACTCAGGGAACCAACCTAAATATAACCATAGAACTCAGCAGCATGATGGCTCATTACAGCAGCAGTTAGACACACTGCAGGACAAAATCTATCTGCTGAAAAACAACTAAAATTAGAATGCTATCATTTAGCTTAAGAGCTGGAGTCATGAGATATTCAAGAACAAGGTTTCAGATCACCATGAGAAGGTGAGGAGGAAGAAGGCACGCAGCGTGTTGCAGTCAGCAGTAGAGACTCTCTATCTGGTCTTATCTGATCTAAAAGCTGTTTTGCCTTTTTAGAATGTCAGGGGTTAGTGAGCCTTATGTACTGACAAGCTCAGGTTACCAGGAGAACTGGCAGGCCAGAAATGTTCTAAGGATTGGGGGCAGTTGATATTCTTTCAAAGTCTACCAACTATGCTCAACGGGTTTAGGCTTCAGGACTGCACAGATATGTGCGTGATTCACAGCACCTGTAGCTAACATGTAGTGAGCACCGCCATGTGCCAGGAATTAAACCGAGCACTTCACCTGTATTAACTTACTTAGACTTCCCTCACCAAATGTCTATTGAGAGTGCATGCATTACATGCCCATCACTGTTTTAGGAATTGGAAGGACAGAAATGAATCAGGCAAGTATGGTACCAACCTCTTGGGGTTTGTAAAATAGTATGGAAAAAGATATTAAACAAGTATGACAAATGTGACAATTACACATAAGAAGGACAGGGCGTTTAAGCAGACAATCAAGTCCCACGCCTAGTCTAGGGTTAAGGGAAGGCTCCCAGATGTGGGAACAAACCCCAGGGCTGAGTAGATGTCATTTACATGAAGAGTTTCCAGGAGAGGAAGCAGCGCGCTAGGGACTAGCTTCCCAGTAAGGAGTTCTTTCACTGCAGGGGCTGCTCCAGCTTGGATGCATGAGATTCCCCTGGGGGATTCAAGAGATAGTAGAAAGATACCCTGACTGGATGTGTCACTGGGAGTGTGTCTTTCTTGGGATCGTTTGGAAGTGCTGGAGAGGAGTATGGAGGTGCATACAAAAGGAGGGTGAGGCTGTAGTGATTTTTCCCAAGCTCAAGAATCCCTGGGTCCCACCTTGCCTTATCAACCAAACAGAATCAGATGTTTGAGATCCTGGGTTTCTTTCTTTTCTCTTTATTCATCTCTCCTTCCCATCCCACTCCTTAAGAAGGACTCAGAGCCACAGCTAGCTAAATATCTTATAAACTGCTTAGTGAGGAAGGATTAGACACAGAACAGAATCACATGGGTGTGTTGTTTGCATTTCTGTATATATTAAAAGAAATGTATGACTGAGCACATACAGTCCTCACTCCATTTCATAGGTTTTGTTTTTGTGTTTTAAAAAAAGCTGTTCTGTTGACACTATGAAGTCATAAGTAGGAGAGCCTATGGAAGGTAACAAAGTGATTACTACCTGAATGTGGTAATTGCAGAAAAGGTTTTGGTGACCGTTGTGGTCACTGGATGCTGGCGTATCCCAGTGTTGTTCTTTTAGTGTGTGCCCGCCGAAGGTTGCAATAAAACAGCCTGGGTATGCTGATCTACTGCCAATGTGAGAGAAGAAGTTTGCCCTGTAGAATATACTGGTATCAAGGAGTAAATTTATATATATAATATAATATATATATTATATATATGCACACATATGTATATATGAGATATATGAGTAACACTAACATTAAATTTTTATTAGGTTTATGTCCATGTCTATACCTAATTGATCATTTGGGCATGCATTAATAATCTCTCTCACAATGGATAATGATATTAACTATTAGGACATAGATTAGATATTAGCTATCAGGAAACCTTGCCTGAATTAACATGGTTGTGATCAACGTTATTGGATTGACAGTGACCAAGAAGTAAAATGCCTGAACTGTAACGCGTAATGGCATCTAAAATGGAGCTCTAAGTCCTCCTCAATGGACAGGTAATGGCTCTAAAACTTCTGCAGTAGCTGTGAAACAAAGGCAGGATATGCACTATTTAAAAGCCTCTTAACTTCGTCCAACAGGGATTTCTTACACTGCCCATTTTCTCTTCAGTTCCTCTATTTCTCTTCTTCATTCTCAGAGAATTAAGATACACCATGAAGTCGGAAGTCTTTTTGTTCTTACTGTCACAGCGGAATTAAAGCAAAAAGATTTTTTTTTTGAAACAGTTCTTTTCCTTTGAAAAAGTATGCTAACAGGTATAAAGAGAATATGATTTTGTAGCTTGAAAGAGAAGAAATGTGTTTATTCTTTTGTTGATGGGCCTGAAAGCTATTGTCAAGACATAAGTGAGGACTTTGAACTCAAGATTTAAGGTTTTGAAAAGGTTCTAACATGAGGAGTCTACTGACATTATAGATCAACAAATGGAACCTTTCTATTCAGAAAATTGGATTTCTATTGTACTGCTTACTGGCTTTAGGTATAATAAACAAGATAGAGGCTTCAGATATAGAGAAATTGCTGAAGAATAAGGAAAAAATAATTTGAAGTCAAGGGTGGTAAAAGTTATTTATCTTAAATGGTTATATGCTACATGTATAATTTTCTCAGGCATAAAATCCACTATTTTATGATTTTTTTTTTGCAAAGTGAGAACTTTTTCTACTATTAGATGTCATTCACTATTGTGGTATCAGGAAAAAAGGAAACATTTCTGCTTCTTCTTTTAAAACAAGAAACACCAAACAAAAGGCAAAAGCAAACAAAATTCTAAAAAATATTTTTGACATATGCTTTAAATGTTAATAGCTTTAACATACAAATAGCTATCACAACCCAATAAAGGACTGAATCTTCCAATTAAAAAAATGGGCACGGCACATAAACAGACAACGCACAAATTAATACATAAAAATGAACATTTACTATTCTGGAATGTTCAACTTGTGAAACCCAGAAAATCTGAGACAGGTCTCAGTTAATTTAGGAAGTTTATTTTGCCAAGGTTGAGGACACGCCCCTGACACAGCCTCAGGACGTCCTGACATGTACCCAAGGTGGTTGGCACACAGCTTGGTTTTATACATTTTATGGAGACATGAGACATCAGTCAATATATGTAAGATGTACATTGGTTTGGTCTGGAAAGGCAGGACAACTTAAAGCAAAAGCAGGAAGACTGGAAGCGGGGAGGGAGCTTCCAGGTCACAGAGAGGTGATACACAAACAGTTAACATTCTTTTGAGTTTCAGATGAGCCTCTCCAAAGGAGGCAAATCAGATTTGCATCTATCTCAGTGAGCAGAGGAGTGACTTTGATAGAATGGGAGGCAGGTTTGCCCTAAGCAGTTTCCAGCTTGACTTTTCCTGAGTGATTTTGGGGGCCCAAGATATTTTCCTTTCACAAACTTCATTGGTAATTTTTAATATCATGTTAACACAAAGTTGTTGACAATTTAACACTGTCAGTGTGGAAACAGGTTTGAGAAAAGAGAAAAGAGGAGACGCCCTGATAGACACCATGTTATAAACTATTCCAACCTTTCTACAGAGCAGTTTGGCAATAAACCTAAAAGCCATAAAAATGCATAAAACAGCTAACCTAGCAGTTTCATTTCTGGGTAGTTAGTCCAAGGATTTAGGCAAATGTGCACAAAGCATTGTAGGAAAGAATGCTAAGCCCAGTATTATTGATAATTAGAAACAATCTAAATGTTCCAAGAACAACAAATTGTTTAAGTAAACTATAGTATATCCACACAATGAAAAACTATAAAATTATTAGTCATCTAATAGAAAAAATAGTTTAAAATAGGAAAATGTTTAAGACACAAGTGACTAAAGAAGTAAACTATAAAGCATATTTGCACTCGGACCTCATTTTATAAAATAGAATGTAAACTGCATAAATACTAGAAACTTGTGTACTGAGACGCTAACAGAAGGGACTATCTTTTCCATAGACATATGTTCCACTAAAAGATAAGCGCTTTTAAAAACTGCTTTCTAAAAAATTATCAATATACAGTGCATATTTTTCTTTTGTTATTACATATTATTATTCATGATTGTAACTTTGTGTTTTAATAGATCAGAATTCAATCTATTTCTCATTGTTCTTTCTCAATATTCTCTCAATTATTTTTAACCCTTTATTTTTTGAGACAAACTTTAAGATAATTAGTTGAAATTGCAAATGTGCTTGGCCCTTTGGTAAAATTAGAGAATAATTTGGCAGACAATTGCCATCTTTACTACTGAATCCTTCCATTAGGAACATGATATGTCTTCAATTTTCTTGTCTTTAAGTTCCTTGGAAAAGTTTTATAGTATTTTTTCACATAGATCCTGCAAATTTTGTTAGATATACTCACAGAAATTCTATATTTTGTTGTTATTTGTGTAAAATTATTTAATCCCAATATTCTTCCTAAAGGTTATTGATAATATACACACAAAAGTATATGACTTTTATATACTTACTTTGTTAACGGGCTAACTTATTTAATTCCCTTACTGGATCTAATTGTTTTTGAGTGAATTAAGTTGGATTTTATATGTAATGATATTACCAAAAATATTGTTAAATTTGTGTTTGCTTTCTAATATTTATCTCTCCTTTTTTGGTCAGGTGACAGAGGCTAGAATTTCTAAAAGAAAATATAGCATTATAGTGCTGAGAGCAGGCATGTTAGTTTTTTTATCATTCTTATGTATTTTAATACCTTATTTTGTTTAGTGGGTAAAATATATGTAACATAAAATATGGCATTTACTCCCCCCCACTTTTTTTTCTGAGACAGGGTTTTACTCTGTCACCCTAGCTGGAGTGCAGTGGTGTGATCATAGCCCACTATAGCTTAATCCACCTGGGCTTAAGTGATCCTGTCACCTCAGCCTCCTGAGTAGCTGGAACTACAGGCACACACCACCATGGCTGGCTAATTTTTTTATATTTGTAGAGATGGGGTCTCACTATGTTGCCGAAGCTAGTCTCAAACTTCTGGGTTCAAGTGATCTGCCCTCCTTGGCCTTCCAAAGTGTTGGGATTAACAGGCGTGAGCCACCATGCCTTTTCACCTTTTTAAAGTATACAATTTAGTGGCATTAATTAGATTTACAATGTTGTGCAAGTCTCACCATTATCTTTTTCTAAAAATTCTTCATCACCCACAACTCTGTAGCCATTAAGCAAAGACTCCCCATGCCCCTGCTGTAGTCCCTGATAATCTACTTTTTGTCTTTATGAATTTGTCTATTATAGTGTCTCATAGAATTTTATTATTTTTTCTGAAGTTAAAATGTTTAATAAATATTTTATGTTTTGGGCCCATTATAGCGTTAGTTGAATTAGATTACAATGGATATAAATTTTGCTAGTTCAGGAGTGCCAACCATATAATTTTCTATTTTATAGGGTAGAATGAATTCAAAATATATTTTCAAACCAAATTTAGATTTCAAAATTGTAGAAATTTTTCTCCTTCCATAACAGAGCTCAATTGCTATATAAGTAAATATGACACAGCCTGATTTATCATATTCCTAGGCAATTAAAGTATGATCGATTTAGATCAGCTATTATGGACATGAGGTAAGCCTATAATAAGGATTACATTTTTTTCTTTAATTCATTGTTTTCAAGTTTCTCCTACTTGAAGTAAATGTCATACAAAAAATATTGATTTTTCTCTCAACACATATATAATATGTAAAATATATAAATACCATAGCATGCCATGCAACTATCTTTATGCAAAACTCAGATTTTCCATCAAAGTTTTGCCATTACAAGTGGCTGACTCTTTTTCAATTTTTCAATAGATCAAAATATATTCTTTCATGGCTGTAGAATATAATTTAGTATTTGTTGAAAGTGTTTGGCCATTCTCTCCATGACATACTTTGTTTTAAATGTAGATACATAATTCATGCTGTTTGAGTAAATGAAAGTATTCAGTTACCAAAATGGTCTCCATGATGCAGTCCCTAGCATGATCTATTTGACACTCCCCATATTCCAGACACAGAGAATGAAACCTGAAGCGTCATGTCATCCAACATACTCCTTTTCAGTCTTGTTGCCCAGGTTGGGCCTGCACTTGCTTACACACGTATGAGCACGTCTCACAGAAACTGAGAGTAAACCCATCAGCACTGTGGCACTGTCAGAGGCGGGGCAGGTTCGTGTCTTTGGAGCTCCTTGCTCCTCTGTACCTAAATTGTGTCTCAGTTCATCTGCAAAGATTGGGGTGAAAACTGAAAAGGTGACCAAAGGAAGGAGTTAGCACCATTTTCAGAGTAAAAACCAAGAGAATGCTGCATCATGCACCACTACTTCTAAGAATGACTAGGGCCGGGCACAGTGGCTCAAGCCTGTAATCCCAGCACTTTGGGAGGCCGAGGCGGGCAGATCATGAGGTCACCAGATCGAGACCATCCTGGCTAACACGGTGAAACCCCGTCTCTACTAAAAATACAAAAAATTAGCCAGGCGTGGTGGCGGGCACCTGTAGTTTCAGCTACTAAGGGAGGCTGAGGCAGGAGAATGGAATGCACCCGGGAGGCAGAGGTTGCAGTGAGCCGAGACCGCGCCACTGCACTCCAGCCTGGGCGACAGAGTGAGACTCCATCTCAAAAAAAAAAAAAAAAAAAAAAAAAGAATGACTGCTACATTTCTTCTTCTGGTTGAGAAAAGGTGTCTACATTTCCACAGGGTTTAGACAGTAGAAGCAGTGGAGTGTAAAGAAAGATACAATGTGCACAGGCTCTTCACAAAACAAGACAAGAGATGTGCACAAAATAGAAGACGGGTAAAGAGACCAATTTCCAAGAAGGAGTTTGAAAACTACACACTGCTAAGCCTGACATCAATAACTGCTGTGATTCTAGGACTGATTATTTAAGCAGGTGATTCGGGAGCTCCTAGGAAAATAGTAGTTGTTACCAGGAGTCAGAGTGAGCTCTCTGGAATAAGGCCAGCCAAGCTAACCTCATGTATTCTAATATGTTTCCTCATAAAGGAGATAATAAATAAACTGTATCAGCAAAGCATCTGGCAAGGCCTCTATGGTTTTCCTTATAGGGAGGATACAGGAATGGTTGAAAAAGTAGGCTTTTTCTTTCTTTCTTTTTTTTTTTTTTAACTCTGTGAACAATTGTATCCAAGTAATACGCACTAATGATTTGGTACCAGCCTGTACAGCCCTGAGTGGGATACCTCATGTATCTATATTTGATCGAGTCCAGTTTCCATCTAAAGTTTTTACTGTAACTTGGATGAATGTTATAGAATCCAAATCTATCAATTTTTTTTGATGACCCCAATTTAGAAGTCTGCAGAGACATGACCATGAAGGAAAACCAAGGATATAAAAATAATTTATTCTTGATCGGGCACCATGCTAAATGTTCTATTTGTATAATCTCATTACTCCTTACAGTGTCTCTGGGCAATCAGTTTTCTAATGCTCTGGGACAGTTAAAAGAGTCAGGTGGCCTGAGATCACACAGCTAGTTAGTAGCAAGCTGGGATCCGGTCTGCACTCAGCATGCTCAGGCCCCTCACCCTCCCAGCGTACCCACAGGCATGGGATACTGGTGTACAGCCAACCTGGCGTGTGCTCATGAGAAATGTTCAAAGCGGCACAGCAAACATAGAATCTAGGGTGGACTTTGAGCAGGCATTCGAGACACCTGCTGTGTCCTGTGCTTTGGTGGCTTAAGGAATAAGCCACTAGTAATAGTGATGAAGTGGGGTTTCACGGCAACTTTTGAAGAGCAAGGGGAGGCACTGCGGTAGTGCTAGTCCTGACTACAGCTCAGCCTCCACATGGGAGCAGGAGTGAAGATTCTCAGTCTGAGGCTCTAGCCCGGGTGACTAAAAAATGTTGCCGTAATTTAGGCAGAGAATGATGATGATGATGATAATGATGACGATGATAATGATGACAATGATAACACTTATAACCTTACATATTAGCTCATTTAATCACTGAAATAGCCCAATAAATTGGATGTCATTATCATCATTGCCCCCCTCCCCCCCTTTTTTTTTGAGACTAAATTTTGCTCTTGTTGCCCAGGCTGGAGCGCAGTGCAGCTCACTGCAACCTCCGTCTCCCGGGTTCAAGTGATTCTCCTGCCTCAGCCTCCCAAGTAGCTGGGATTACAGGCACCCGCCACCATGCCTGGCTAATTTTTGTATCCTTTTAGTAGAGAAAGGGTTTCACCATGTTGACCAGGCTGGTTTTGAACTTCTGACCTCAGGTGACCCACCCACCTCGGCCTCCCAGAGTGCTGGGATTACAGGTGTGAGCCACTGCGCCCGGTCCTATTGCCCCAATTTTATAAGTTAGGCTCCTGAGTCTCCAGGTAGTTAACTTGGACGATAGCAGTTATGCGGTAGAGTTGGAATTTTGATGAGGTAGTCTGACTTCAGAGCTTTTGCCCCTCAACATCACATTACACTAGAAGAGTGATAGAATTGGTTTGTTTATTTATTTATTTGAGAGTGGGAAAGGGACAGTTAATGCACGGCGGATTCGGCTTGAAAATGCATCTAGCTGGTTCTCTCTTTAAACATGCTGTGCCTTGCTGGCAGGGACAGCTAAGCTGTCCATTCTCTCCATCTCTGCCGCCTCCATCGTGGGTGCTGGATCACCCTTCCTCATTCCCCTGTTCATACAGGGCGAGGCCTGATGTTGATTCCTTCCTCTGGCGAGTGACCAGGCAAACTTTACTGTCTAAGACAATTTGAAACCACTTTCTTTCTGTATCTGGTAACCAAAATAATCCTAAGTCAGACACCTCTTTTTAATGTTTTTTAAACAGATTAGACTTGTTTTTCCAAAATTAAAAATCATTACTTTTAAAATAATTATGATCACGTTCAGAATAATTTACTTGGAAAATGTCAAGATAAGTAAAATTATTAGATCATGAGTAAAGGGTAATGCATTTCAATTGTACTTGCTTCTTTCTTAGTAAATAGAATTCCCAAAGTAATTTTTGTATTGTGATATGGATTCTCATATTTCATTCTTACTCGGTGGTGTTTTTCCCCACTAGGTTTTCCTTAACAGAATATTTTGCTTGGTAAAATGTTCTTGCTCAGGTTTCTTCCGCTGTGTCTGTGCACGCCTGCCCTTTACTGCCGGATGACCTCACCTCGTTAGAGCTCTCCTAATGAAGCCACCGTGTTATGGCCCGTCTATTTGTAAAGCAGTGATATTTCCATAATTCTTTGGCAACCAGGGTCACCTCTCCTCCTACTAGGCCATCTCACAAAAGTATGTTGCTGCTTATGATAGAATCACGTGAGAGAATGTAGATGAATCAACAGAAATGTACTCTCACCACTTAAATAATTCTCCCAATAAATAGAAAGCACTATATCATTATACCCTTCATCTGTTGTTTCATATGAGAGAGTCTTATGCGACAGTTTTTATAGAATATATAGTACAGTGGCAGGCCCAAATGGCCACTTCATGCTTTTGATTACGGCACCTATACAGATTTCAGTACAGACAGCAGTTATGTACCTTATTAAATTAATCTTGCAAATATTTTGATGCATCTCTTGTGTACTAGCCAGGACATTAGATGCTGTGGGGATGTATTACTTTCTAACATTATGTTCTAAGTGACATGAGAGAGGAGCTATAAAGTTATGTCGGGGAGGGAAGGCAGAGTGGGGATAGGACTGGAGTTGAGGGTAGGGAGTGGAGAGGTGAATCAGAAGAGGCTTTATAGATCAATTCATATTGGAGCTGGGCTTTGAAGGTCACTTAATGTTTAGGCATCTGGGGATGTGAGAATGGGCATTCCGAAAAATGAGCGAAGACAAAGAATTAGAAAAGTGCAAGGCAAGTTCTACGGCACAATCGGTTTGGCTAGAGCACAGGGTGAATGAAGGGAAATAGTAAGAAATAAAGTCAAAAACAAAATTTTCAGCCAGATAGTGGGAATCCTTGAAAGCCATGCCAAAGAATTTAAAGTAGGCCGACTTTGGAGAGGAGTCTGCCCTTAAAATCTGGAAATGCACCTGATAAGGTGAGTTGAAAGCTTTTTCCCTACGAGCTAAGTTGTGTGGCCTGGGGCAGCAGAAAGCAGGTAAACTGACTTGGAGAGAGAGTTCTGGGCTGGAAGAGCAGGTAGAAAATTGGAAGAGGGGATCTTGGAAGCGAGGGCCTCGCAGAGGGTGTAAACTGAAATTTGCATGTAAGCTCTGCCTTAGCTGACCTCTTAGAATTACACACATGGGGAGATTCCCAGTAGTCCCAGATGGCGAGCAAAAGCTGCAAGATGAAAAAACTGAAAATGAAATAACTTCAGCTGTTGTCCACCACAGAGAAGACAAGGTTTGGGGTCTGTGTCCAATTAATTGTCTGCCAGAATTAGAATCAACACTCTTCACAGGAAGACAACAGAATCCAGGGGCTGTAAAATGTATTCATAATGCCCTTGTAGGATTGCACGTTGTGGCCCTGTTAAGGTTGGATGGGCCCTAGACTATGTCTGGCCAATGAATAGTGAATAGAAGTGAAATGTGCCCCTTCCAGGGTGGACCTTCTGAGCTCTTGTTTCCTGTGGTACTGAACCAGCAACAACTATCAGGCTGGGTCCCTAAGCAATGACAATGAACAGAACCTTGCTGCTAACCTGCAACAGACAGGTTGCACAGTCAGAAATCTATATTGTTCATGTTTTAAGTAATGTATTGTTTTAAGCCCCTAAGATTTTTGGGATTGGTTGTTATTGAAATGTAAACTAGTTTATTCTGATTGATAAAATTCCCTGTATCAGATTAAGGGAATTCCTTTCTATTCTCAGTTTGTTTTAAATACATGAATGAATGTTAAATGTTATCAAATGCTTTTTCACCATTTATTAAATAATCATTTTTTAATTCATTAATGTTGTAAATTGGCTTGATTGATTTTTCTAGTGTTAAGCCAGTCTTATACTCCTGAAATAAAACCAACTTTGTCATGAGGTATTATCATTTTTTATATATTGATGGATTCTATTTGTTAGTTATATTGTTTAATAAATTTTCCTTGATGTTTATGAGTGAGATTGTCCTGGAAGTTTCCTTTCTTATAATATCCATGAATATTGGTATCAAGGTTATGCTAGCTTTATGAAATGAGTTGAAGTGTGTATTCTCCAGTTTTATTGTCTGGAAAAATTTGTACAAAATGACAATTATTTTTTTCTTCAGCTGTTTGGTACAACTAACCAGTGAAGCTATGTGAGCCTTGAGCTATTGTTGTGTGGGGGATTTTAATTACTGACTTAATTTCTTCATTTGTTGTATTAGTGTTTGTATTTTAACTTATTTTCTATTTTTCAGGTGTCAGTTTTGGTAAGTTATATTTTCCACCTTGATCATTTCATGAACAATTCAAAGTTTTAGGGATAAGTTGTTCTTAATACCCTATCATGATATTTTCAATGTCTGTAGGATTTGTGTGACACTTCCTTTTTTATTTCTGATATTGGTTATTTCTGTCTTCTCTCATTTTAAATTTAGTTATATATATATACTTTTTGAGACAGAGTCTCACTCTGTGACCCAGGCGGGAGTGCAGTGCCCAATCACAGCCCACTGTAACACTGAGCTCCTGGGCTCATGCGATCCTCCCACCTCAGCCTCCCACTCCAGTAGCTGGGACTACAGGCGGCATCACCACATCTGGCTAATTAATTTTTTTAATTCTAAGTTTACCAAATATTTATCAATGTTATTCGTAATTTAAAGGAACCAACCAACATTTGGTTTTTGGTTCTCTTAATTGTATGGTGGTTTTCTGTATGTATTTTAATTTATTTTTGCTTTATTTTTTGTAGGTACATAGTAGGTATATATATTTATAGGTTACAATATGTATTTTGTTACAGGCATGCAATGTGTAATAATCGCATCAGGGTAAATGAGGTATTCATCACTTCCAGCATTTATTCTTTATGTTACTAATAATCCAATTATGCTCTTTTAGTTATTTAAAAATGAATGATTAAGTCGTTTTCAACTATAGTCACCCTGTTTTGCTAGCAAATACTAGGTCGTACTATTTCTAACTATTTTTTGTACCTTCTAACCATCCCCGCTTACTCCCCTCGCATCTGGTAACCATCCTTCTACTCTCTATCTCCATGAGTTAAATTGTTTTAATTTTGAGCACCCCAAAATAAGTAAGAACATGTGAAGTTCGTCTTTTTTGCACCTGGCTTATTTCACTTAACATAATGACCTCCAGTTCCATCCATGTTGTTGCAAATGACAGGATCTCATTCTTTTTTATGACTAAATAGCACTCCATTGTGTTTATGTACCATATTTTTTTTATCCATTCATCTGTTGATGGACACTTAGGTTGCTTCCAAATCTTGGTTATTGTGAATAGTGCTGCAATAAATACGCGAATGCAGATATTTCTTTGATATACTGATTTCCTTTCTTTTGAGTATATACCTAGGAGTGGGCTTGCTGGATTGCATGGCAGCTCTCTTTTAGTTTTTTGAGGAACCTCCAAATTGTCCTCCATAGTGGTTGTATTAATGTACATTCTCACCAACAGCATATGAGGGTTCCCTTTTCCTCACCAACATTTGCTATTGCCTGTCTTTTGGATAAAAGCCATTTCAACTGGGATAAGATATCTCATTATAGTTTTGATTTGCATTTCTCTGATGATCAATTATGTCGAGAACCTTTTCATATGCCTATTTGCTATTTGCATGTCTTCCTTTGAGAAATGTCTATTCAGATATTTTGCTTATTTTAAAATTGGATTATTAGATTTTATTCGTATAGTTGTTTGAGCTCCTAATACATTCTAGCTGTTAATCCCTTGTCAGATGGATAGTGTGCAATTATTTTCTCCCATTCTGTGAGATGTCTCTTCACTTTGTTGATTGTTTCCTTTGCTATGCAAAAGGTTTATAACTTGATGCGATCCCATTTGTCCATTTTTGCTTTGGTTGCCTGTGCTTGTCAGGTATTGTTCAAGAAATTTTTGCCCAGACCAATGTCCTGGAGATTTTCCCCAATGTTTTCTTGTAGTAGTTTCATAGTTTGAGGTCTTAGATTTAAGTCTTTAATCCACTTTGATTTGATTTTTGTATATGGTGAGAGATGGGGGTCTAGTTTCATTCTTGTGCATATGGATATTCAGGTTTCCCAGCATTTATTGAAGAGATTTTCTTTTCCCAGTGTATGTTCTTGGCACCTTTGTCAAAAATGAGTTCACTGTAGATGTATGGACTTATTTCTGACTTCTCTCTTATCTATGCTGTTCCACTGGTCTGTGCTTCTGTTTTTTATGCCATAATGTAGTATAATTTGAAGTCAGATGATGTGATTCCTCCAGCTTTATTCTTTTTGCTTCGGATAGTTTTGACAATTCTGGGTCTTTTGCGGTTTCATATAAAATTTAAAATTGTTTTTTTCTGTTTCTGTGAAGAATGTCATAGGTATTTTTATAGAGATTGCATTGAATCTGTAGATTGCTTTGGGTAGTATGGACATTTTAATAAAATCGATTCTTCCAATTCGTGAACATAAAATATCTTTCCATTTTTTGGTGTCCTCTTCAATTTCTTGCATCAATGTTTTAAGTTTTTATTGTGGAGATCTTTCACTTCTTTGGTTAATTCTTAGGTACTTAGTTTTATCTGTGGCTATTGTAAATGGGACTACATTGTAAAATTTCTTTTTCAGTTTGTTCACTCTTGGTATATGGAAATGCTAATGATTTTTGTTTGTTGATTTCGTATCCTGCTACTTTACGAATTTGTTTATTAGGTCTAATAGTTTTTTGGTGGAGTCTTTAGGTTTTTCAAAATATAAGATGATATCATCTGCAAACAAGGATAATTTGACTTCTTCTTTTCCCATTTGGATCCCCTTTATCTCTTTCTCTTGTCTGATTGCCCTAGCTAAGACTTCCAGTACTACGTTGAATAACAGTGGTGAAAGTGGGCGCTCTGTCGTGTTCCTGATTTTAGGAGGAAAGGCTTTCAGTTTTTCTCCATTCAGTGTGATACTAGCTGTGAGTCTGTCGTACGTGGCTTTTATTATGTTGAGGTATATTCCTTTGATAGTCAGTTTTTTGAGGGGTTTTCATCATGAAGGGATGTTAAACATTTGTTTTTATTTTTCAGGACAAATTGAAAGGATCATAGGCTTTTTGTCCTTCATTCATATGTTGATGATGTTGACATGCTGTATAACATTGATTGCTTTGCATATATCGTAACATCCTTGCATCCCTGGGATAAATCTCACTTGGTCATGATGAATGATCTTTTTAATGTGTTGTTGAATTCAGTTTGCTAGTATTTTGTTGAGGATTTTCCATCAATATTTATTAGTGACATTAGCTTGGGTTTTCTTTCTTTCTTTTTGTTTTAATGTGTCTTTGTCTGGTTTTGGTATCAGGATAATACTGGCCTTATAGAATGAACTTGGAAGTATTCTCTTCTCCTTTATTTTTTTTTTGGGAATAGTTTGAGTAGGATTGGTATTAGTTCTTCTTGAAATGTCTGGTAGAATTCAAGAGTGAAGCCATTGAGTCCTGGGATTTTCTTTGCTGGGAGACTTTTTATTATGCTTTGTCTACATTACTTGTTATTGGTCTATTTGGGTTTTGGATTTCTTTATGATTCAACCTAGGTAGGTTTTTATGTGTTTAGGAATTTGTCAGTTTCCTCTAGATTTTCCAATTTATTGGCATATAGTTGCTTATTGTACCCACCAATGATCCTTTGAATTTCAGTGATATCAGTTGTAATGTTTCCTTTTTTATCTCTGATTTTATTTATTTGGGTCTTTTTTTTTTTCTAACTTAGATCTGGTCTTTATTATTTCTTTTCTCCTACTAATTTTGGGTTTGGTTTACTCTTACTTTTCTAGTTCTTTAAGATGCATTGTTAGGTTATTTATTTCAAGTTTTTCTTTTTTGATGTAGCCTTACAGCTATACATTTCCCTCTTAGTCATGTTTTTGCTGTATCTCATGTTTCTGCTGCATGTTGTGTATCCATTACCACTTGTTTCAAGAAAATTTTCAATTTCCTTCTTAATTTCTTCAGTGATCCACAGGTCATTCAGGAGCATATTGTTTAATTCCATGCATTTGTATAGTTTCCAAAGTTTCTCTTATTGATTTCTAGTTTTAGTCCATTGTAGTTCAAGAAGATGCTTGATATTATTTGAATTTTTTTGAATGTTTTAAGAGTTGTTTTGTGACCTAACATATGGTCTATCCTTGAGATGATCCACATGTTGAGGAAAAGAATGTGTATTCTGCAGCCATTGGATGAAATGTTCTGTAAATATCCACTAGATTCATTTGGTCTATAGTACAGATTAAGTCAATGTTTCTTTGTTGATTTTCTGTCTGGAAGATCTGTCCAATGCAGAAAGTGGGGTGTTGAAGTCTCCAGGTATTATCGTATTGTGGTCTGTCTCTCTCTTTAGCTCTAATAATATTTGCTTTACCTATCTGGGTGCTCCAGTATTGGGTGCTTACATATTTACAACTGTTATATCCTCTTGCTGAATTGACCCCTTTATCATTATATCTTTGTTTCTTCTTATAGTTTATGACTTGAAATCTATTTTGTCTGATATAAGTATAGCAACTTCTGCTCTTTTTTGGTTTCCATTGGCATGGAATATCTTTTTCCATCTCTTTATTTTCAGTCTACGTGTGTCTTCCTAAGTGAAGTGTGTTTTTTGTAACAGATCATTAGGTCTTTTTTTTTTTTAAATCAATTCAGCTACTCTGTGCCTTTTGATTGGAGATTTTTGTGCATTTACATTCAATGTTATTATTGATAAAGACTCACTATGGTCATTTTGATATTTTGGTTTTGTGGTTGTTTTGTGATCTTCTATTCCTTCTTTCCTTCCTTCCTGTCTTCCTCTTAGTGAAGGAAGGTAATTTTCTCTGGTGATATGATTTGATTTCTTGCTTTTTATTTTATGTATATCCATTGTATGTTTTTTGATTTGAGTTACCATGAGATTGCAAATACTATCTCATAACTCATTATTTTAAGCTGATAATACTGTTTGCATAAATGAATGGGCAAAACAAAAACTAATCAAAACCCCCATCTTAACTTTGTCCCCCTGCTTTTTAACTTTTTTTTCTATTTGTATTTTATTATACTGTCTATGTCTTGAAAAGTTGTTGTAGTTATTTTTATTGGTTCATCATTTAGTGTTTCTACTTAAGTGTAGTTTGTACACCACAATAACAGTGCTATAATATTCTATTTTTCTGTGTACTTACTATTACCAGTGAGTTCTGTTCCTTCAGATGACTTCTTATTGCTCATTAATATCCTCTTCTTTCTGATTGAAGTACTCCCTTTAGCATTTCTTGTAGGACAGGTCTTGTGTTGATGAAATCCCTCAGCTTCTGTTTTTCTGGGAAAGTCTTCACTTCTCCCTCATATTTGAAGGATATTTTTGCTGGATATATTACAGGTTAAAAGTTTTTTCCTTCAGCACTGTAAATATGTCATGACACCCTCTCCTGGCCTGTAAGGTTTCTACTGAATAGTCTACTGCCAGATGTATTAGGGCTCCATTGAATGTTATTTGTTTATTTTCTCTTGCTGCTTTTAGGATTCTTTCTTTATCCTTAACCTTTGGGAGTTTAATTATTAAATGTCTTGAGGTAGTCTTCTTTGGCTTAAATCTGGTTGGTGTTTTATAACCATCTTGTACTTAGATATTAATATTTTTCTCTAGATTTGGGGAGTTCTCTGTTATTATCCTTTTGCATAAACTTTCTACCCCATCTCTTTCTCTGCCTTCTTTTTAAGGCCAATAACTCTTAGATTTTCCGCTTTGGGGCTATTTTCTAGATCCTGTAAGTGTGCGCTTCATTATTTTATATTCTTTTTTCTTTTGTCTCTCCTGAGTGTGTGTTTTCCAATAGCTTGTCTTCAAGCTCAGTAATTCTTCCTTCGGCATGATCAATTCTGCTATTAAAAGACTCTGATGCATTCTTCAGTATGTCATTGCATTTTTTCAACTCCAAAATTTCTGCTTGGTTCTTTTTGTTTGGATCTGTTTGTTAAATTTATCTAACAGAATCCTAAATTTCTTCTCTGTGTCATCTTGAATATCTTTGAATTTCCTCAACACAGCTATTTTGAATTCCTTGTCTGAAAAGTCACATATCTCTATTTCTCCAGGATTGGTACCTGGTAACTAACTTACTTTTTTTTTTTTTTTTTTGGTGAGTTCATGTTTTCCTGGATGGTCTTGATGCTTGACGTCTGGGCATTGAAAAGTTAGGTATTGCGGTCTTCACAGTCTGGGCTTATTTATAGCTATCCTGTTTTGGAAGGCTTTTCAGATATTCGAAAGGACTTGGGTATTGTTGTCTAAGCTGTATCTGCACTGGGAGCACTGCAAGCCCAGTAATGCTGAGATTCTTGCAGAGTCATAGAGGTACTGCCTTGTTGGTCAATTGGTGAGTCTGATTCCAGGCTATGCTCTTAGCCAGTATATTACCTGTTGATCTATAAGCAGGATAAAGAAAGTCTGAAATGGTAGCAAAGGGAAAATTTATTTTTACTGAATAAGTCAAAAAAATAATAAGTCAGGAAGCCAAAAAGAAACTGCTAAATACCCCCCACCCCAAACAAAGAAAAGCGCTACAAATCTATAATAAATATTCACAGAGAGATAAGAGAATAAACATAAAAGAACCAAATAGTATAAAAAAAGGAACAGTCAGAGGAAAGGAAAGTTACAATAACTAAAGTGAAATATTCACAATTTCGGAAGATAGAGTCAAGGACATTTCTCAGGAAATAGAACTAAGCGACAGAGTAGGAAAAAATGAACAAAAAGATAAAGAACTAAGAGAATCCACTGGGAGGCATTATAGATGACTGGCTGGAATTACATCAGAAAACCAAGAGAAAACAGAGAGAAGATACTGTTAAAGAAGTAACACATAAAAAGTTTTTAGTGCAGAAAGACATAGGTCTCTAAATTGAAATTTCCTGGGAAAATTGATAAAAAAAAAAAAAGCATTAAAGTATATCCACATAAAATTTCATATCACCAGAGATAAAGATTCAAAAATGTTCAGAGATTGGAGGCCAATAGGTCACAGGCAAATGACTAGAAATTCAGATGCATCAAGATTTTCAAAGCAACATAAGACTCTGGAGGCGATAGAGACATGACCTCCCTGTTCTGAATGAAAAGGGTTTTCAACAAAGCAAACTCATAATCAAGCTTGATGATAGAATTTTCAGATATGCAAGAACTAAAAAATATACCTTTCATATGCTTCCCGGAAATTACTAGAAGATGCAAACTCTAACAGTGATGAGGAAAACAAGACAAAGAGCTAAGGAAAGAGGTTGAACATAAAAAAGGAGTAACAGGAAGTGTCAGGCCAAGACAATATGTGGTCCAGATTGGAGCAAATGGATGGATGGAGGATGGAAGAGTGAATGTCTCCAGAAAGGGAAATAAAATTAATTTCAGATGAAGTCAGATAAATCTGGGTTATTTAATGTTCTGAACATTTTGAAAATAATATTCTTTTGACAGATCTTGTAATACTTGAAGAAAATTAGGAAGTATATAAAAATCAAGTATGCAAAATGAGAGGCAATTATCAATGCTGAGAAAAACAAGTTGTATTAGAAAAGTAATCATAGCAGATGTGGGACTTGCAGTGAACAGTATTTATGTGATCATTAATTAGTGGGGAAGAAGGTATGTTTGTGGAGGGGAGTTAAATTCTAATCAACATGAGGTGACTGGCAGTCCCTGCTAAAACCAGTCTTTCAAAGGAGTTTCCAAATCAAGACTTTTTCCTTGTGACTAGTGAATTATTTCTCCCAATCCTTCGTGGAAACAACAGATTATTTGGTTTTCCTTTTGTCCTCTTGTTGTATTTCTATTTTTTTACAAGTTACCTTGGCTTTCTTTAAAAAAAGATTGCCTTACTGAAAGTGTTTTTTCTTTCACTTGTACCTCATATGCATACTATCTATTTTAATCCATGAATGGTTACATTTAAGGCCTAAAATCTTAAAGTTGTGTTTCTCTAATCATGCACATTATGAACAATGCAGTATCTCCTGATCCCACATACAAGGGAGAAAATTAGCATTCATCTCTTCCCCTCCCACCCATGTCCCACGCCTGGCTCTCGTGTCCAGGACTCTTTGGTGGGGCCTGGGGCGTCCAAGCACTCACTGTGCCCTAGCAGGCCTTGCCTCAGCCCGGCAGCAACAGCATCGACCACGGGCTTGTCAGAGATGCAGCATCTCAGGTCCGTTCGCATCTGCTGATCTGGAGCCTGCATTTTACCAAGGTCCGCGGATGCATACTGAAGCTTGGGAAGCGGTGCTACAGCAGGAAGGCTGTTCACTTGGGTTGGTGAAGATCCTAGATCTTAAAGTCAAAGGTCAGGAAGTGGAGGAAGGACAGGGATCTTTTTAGCTCTCAGTCAAGAAGTCTACCTTCCTTCCGGGGTGAAAACGATGAGTAGCAGCTGATTCTTTCTCAAATATGATGTCATAGTTTGCAGTACACAGTGGGCCATGACTATTAAATTTTTGTTGTGAATATTTTAATCATTATAAATTGATCCTCTTTATACACTTGAAAACTCTTTACAATTAAATTTTACTTTTCTAAAATTAAAATCACGACTTCTGCTTTTTTATTTATTCCAATATATCTTTGAACATATTTAAGTATTATTTTGTTTTTTAGAGAGTTTACATACAGATTTTGTTTTTTCAGTTGTAAAGTTAATTTTCGTAGCTGATCTATTGGATGTTACATTCTTCATCCTATTTTGTGCTTTTGGTTCTTAGCCCTTCCTTGCTGTCTACTCAGCTTTTGTCCTTTTAATAGACAGACTCTGTTTAACTACCTTTATCTTCTGCATTGACTTTGAGGGTGTAGACCCCAGTTTTCCTGGGATTTTTAAGAGTCATTACTGCAAAATTATGATTCAACACTTCATGTGGCTTTGAAACTCTTTTCCCTCCACTATTTAGACATAACCCTAGGTTTAGTGCTGACTGCTTTTCACACTACACTGTCCTCCTCACTTGGGGACTCTCACTGTGCTTTACTTGCTGTGAGCTGGAGCACAGCCCCATTCACCTTCTGGATGAAGGACAGAGGGATACTGCAGTCACTGCGTCCACAGTGTTTTTCTTCACATGACCGGGGTAAAATCACGCCCAAGATGTTTCTCCCCATTTCTCTAAAAGGTGCTCTGTTGTCTGGAATTTACTCTTGCAAAAAATCTTAGCCTCAGTATTATTTGTTGTTGTATTGCTTTTTCCCCTGTCCAGACGTTTGAAGGATTTTTCTTTATGTTATAATTTAAAGTTTTTGGCAAATTGTGCCTCCACCTGAGTCTGTTTTCACTGATTTTCTTTAGATTGCTGCAAGTATTTTCTACCTGCGTAATAAGAGATAATTTTTCCTCCTAGAACATCTCTTCGAATCACCTCTGCCATTATGATTGCTATTCCTGTCGCTCTGATAGTTCCTCTTGGGAACACTAACTTTTAACTCTTTTGTGTTCTATGTCCTCCAATTTAATATCTTTTCTGGCCTTATTTTTATACACTTGTCTTTTCTGAGAGAGCGCCTTAACGTTGCATTTATAATTGATCTTGTGCAGTTGATTATTCTCTATACTTCTATGGAGATTTTAGTTCTACTACGGCATTTTCAGTTTGCCTTGTCCTGTTCAAAATGGACTTCTTTTTATTTGAGTCTAATCTCCTCTTCTGGATTTCTGCTTCTGTTTCTCAGAGGCCACGTCTTCCTGAATCCTGAGGATGTCAAACAAGTTTCTACAAGTTTCTTCTGGTTCATATGCCAGATGTTGTTGAGGTATTCTTTTCCTCCGATTGTGCACAATACTTCCTTCCCTGTGTGTAGAGATTTTTCCCATGGCCCCCTGTGGCTGCAGTGTTGCTACTGTTCTCACTTTTATTGAGGAGAGAGATTGTTAGAGTTTGCTGGTTGCTCTTGGCCCCTCTCTGCCCTCTTGACCGCTGTTTTGGAAGAATCCCCTTCTGAATTTCGTATGCGGAGATTCCAGACACTGCCTCCTGGTTTCACTCTGATGGATTGAGAAGGATTTGTCTTTTCCTACTGGATGGAGTAAATGTGAATCTGTAATCCCCGATCCAGACAAGTAAGAGGGCTGCTCTTTTCTCAGCCTCCCCTATGAGGTTTTGCTGCTGCTCCCAGCAATCAATGCTCCATCACCAACCCTGAGCACTTTATGTCAGCATGATTTTGGAGTTTCTGACCCAAAATAACTCAAGATGGAAATCAGAAAGGTGGGAGGGAAAAGGGAGCAGCAGTAGTTGTGCCAGAAAACAACGTCAGTGAAATAGGTGTCCGAGACCCACGGTGTGGGTTATTCCAGAACTTGGGGGCTTGAACCAAGCAGCAGTAGGAGAAAGAACGGTGGATTCTTGTTTGTTATCATATTAGAAACCCCAGAGCCACTAAATGTGTCAATTTCTCATTCCAGTATTATCAGCCTTCTAATTTGTTGAAATCAACCCAGTTTCCAGAAATACAAGGGCAGCTAATCCCAGCTCACTGCCTCACAGTGAGTTTATACATTTTGCTTTGTTTTCATAGATATTAGTTAGAATTAAAAAAAAAAAAACTTCTAGTCTGCTTGCTGGTAATGGTGAGGTTAATTTTTGCCCCTGGATAGAGTCAAAATTATACTGGGTATGGTGTGAAAATAAAATACACAGAGATGTTATACGTTATGTCAATTATGTACATCAGCCCTTTTCTAGATCCTGTTAGCCTCCTTTCAGAATTCCTCCTCAAAGATTTTCTTTATGCACATAATATTTTTCACACTGTGCTGGAACTGTGCATGACCTTAC
Organism: Homo sapiens; assembly: GCF_000001405.40. NCBI lineage: Eukaryota > Metazoa > Chordata > Mammalia > Primates > Hominidae > Homo > Homo sapiens. The sequence continues at coordinate 163,064,606 of NC_000006.12, read as the reverse complement.
ATAAGTAATCAGCATTTCTTCTTGAGAAAAGTCTGCTTTTAGTGACATAAACAGATTGAGAAGGAAGGAGCAGTTACACTCAGGATCAGTATCGAATAGCAGAAGCGCTGAAAGCCACGCAATGGCATCAACCAAGATAAATTGTCATTGCTTCCGGAACCCTAAATCATCAAATTCATATCTAGTTAATTTTCCCTGACAAATCATGTTTACTGAGTTCTTGATAACGTTTTCGCTCATCGGCAGATGACCTCTAGCATGTGTGTACTGTAAATTTAGTCACATGACTCCTCGCTTTACTCATTTATGTATCTTCAAAATACAGATCAAACAAAATTGAAAATCACTTTACCTTGGCCTGCAAAACTCCAGTGTGGTATGCTTTAATTGCAGACAACATAATCAAAATATTACTTAGCAATTCCTTTTCTGCCTATCAGTGTCTTCCAGTGGACTCTGAGGGAGAGACCCCTGAGAAGGCAGTGATCCCAACATGAAGCATTGATTTAAAAAAAAAAAAAGGATATATGTCCGAATATTGCTGCTATTCTGCCAGAGGAAAAGAACAAATAGTTCCTGCGGAGAATATTCTGGGCCTTTCTTGTTTATCAGAGAAAGCTACATATCATCCTTTAGAAATGTAGCAGTTCAAGTAGAATTTAATGTATTCAAAAATGTGACCCATCTGAGAGAAGAAATTACTTTTGGAAAAGGTTTTAACGTGGCTCGGGACGCTACACCCTCCCTGACAGCCTTTAAGGAGCCTGCCTTCCTGCAGCTGTGGATGAGGCAAGCAAGCTGCTATTTAATAAGCCCCTTTTCAGAGTCTCTTTTCTCTCTGTGTTACTCGCACATCAGGTAGCACCGTCCTTTGGTTTGGTTTCACTGTCTGTCATGGTGGAAATGTGGTGTGGTCACTTACAGATCTCTACGGAGACCTCAAAGATCTGAGGGAGAGTTTCAGAGTTGATTTGATGCAAGCAGTAAGAGCAGAACTGTGGAAATCTAGCATTTTGATCATGATACATTTGAATGAATGGATAAATTCGAATGAATGAATAAAAATGGTGACCTTGGATACGATTAAATAATCCAGACTCTGGGAGATGACCCTATGTTGAGCTAGTTTGTTCTTGTTCTGATGAAAGCACACGGCAAGAGCTCACCTGAGCCAGTGAGGGTGGGGTTCCCCAACCTAGAAGACTAGCTAAGCGTCCTGTCAATCATTTTGGGAAGCTGCCCATCCTGGAGTGGAAGATGAGGTAGAACTTGGGGCGGGGGGAGCAGGGGCCTCCTCACCCCTCGAAGCCATGGGCAGTTGGGCCTGGATCCAGGGGGTGAAAGTGCCTGGAGCAGCTCTGGCTGAGAAAAAGGTAGGGTCTCCCTCATCTGCAGAATGAGTGTTCAGAGGAGGCACTGATCCTCTGCTTTTAATTAGTAGTAGCAGTAGCAGCAGTAGCAATGCAGGACAGGTGGGCAATTCTGGGGCTGGGGAGGGGATGTGCTGGTGAGGGTGAGAGGGGCCAGCCCTGCCACCTTGACTTGAGGAGAGGCCATCCTCTTCCTGAGCCTGTACCAGTGGATGCCAGGCATGCCCATCAGGGTGGCTCTACTGGCAGCAAGGTAAGAATGGCCAGAGAGTGTTCTGGAACCCCAGAAGGCTGTCACGTGGGACAACCTCAGGTTCTTAGACAACCAGTCCAAGGGGCCGTGCAATGTTGTGAGCAAGGTGCATGCAGAAAGGAAGGACAATCTCATTTCACAGACAAAGCCAATCACAGGGCTACCCCAGAGTCACCCAGCTTACCTATTGTAGATTAAAAGTTTCAGGTATTTAAAAACATTCTTCTTTTCACCTATGCAGCTGGGCTTCCCTTCCTTAAAATTATGAATGGTACTACCTCAAATATACTCAACATAACGGTGTTTATAATTTAAAAATTAGAGATGCCATTTACAAAAAAAAGACTTGGAAGTTAGCAGCAGCAGGTAAAGACCTCTGGATGCGTAAGTTAATGTTAATGCTTATGTCATTACTGTGAGGCATTTTAAATTAGCACAAACCCCATGGAATTTGGTTTATTTATGTGGCTAAGCCATAGTGAAATATTGATGATGGGATATATTTTTGGAGATTTGGGTTGTCTGGCCTCCTAAGTCAATTTATGAAAATTCCTGCAAAACTGGGGATCACCTCAGTCTGTCATGGTTTATTGCTTAATTAGCAAGTTGTCAAAAAGCAACACCGTATAAACTGAGTGATGCTTTTTCACCGGTTCACTTACTTTTTATCGGGATAATGAGCTGTGGAAGGACAGGTAGGATCTTGTTCCCACCGTGTTCCAGCATGTCGTGGATTCCTTGCCGAGCAAAAAACTCATAGGGAAATGTCATTTCACAAAGCCCATCAAAAAACAGAGGCAGATAATGATGGTAATCCAGCTTCTCAATTTCTACCTGAAAGTAAAGAAAGAAGAGACGCCATGTGAAAACAGCATTCGGGCAGAGCACGGCAGACAAGCTATGCAGCTGTCACCCACTCCAGAGGGGCACGCTCTTTAGAACTTCAGGAAGACTTCCTTAACCCATCCCCCTAATGACCTGAAGTATGTCATCATGTCCTGAATCAATGAGCAATGAGGTTAAAATCATGGACCTTTAGACCTTAACAGTTAAATCTCCCATCCACATACAATGCACATTGACAGCATATTAATAATTTGCTACCTTTTTGTTAATTCGTTACCATTTGGCTCAAGTATGATATTGAATAGGATTCAAGAAGCCTCTAGAATGTTTGCTGAAAAGATCCACGTAAAAATAAAATGAAAGAAATAAAAACAGCTGAAAAAGATTGGTGCCCAAGGTTCTAAGAAGAAAGCTACAGAAGTGCATGTTCATACGTTCCTGGGAGGCATATGCCTTCTTTGGGGCAAACAGGAGAGTGAGAGGTCAAGCATGATTCCTGGCTTGTTCACTGGAGCCTGGATGACAGGTAGAACATTCAGGGCATCAAGAAGAAATGGAGAGGACAAAGAGTGGGCTGAACCTGGGACCACTGACACCTCAAAGTCAAAACATCCCAACCTCCCTTTGCCTGCTTCTTCTGGGAGCGGAGACAAATCTCTTTCCCACATCTCCACCCATCACCCTCAGTGTCCCTCCATGTCCCCTGTCCAGACCTTGGCAGTAGCATCCAGCAGCACCAGGGAATGGGAACTAAAACTCTGGGGTTGAGAAAAGAGATTGTGAGTTGGGAATCATCTACCTGTAGAAGATTTGGTCTTGCTTGAGCCCTCCACTGTCCAGGGTACCTGTGGCCTGAGCTACTGCCAGCAAGGCGGCAGAGCTGAAGGTGAGAGTGTACATGGAAATGAGCCCACAGACTCAGACTGCAGGTATAATACATCTACACAGAGCAAGGGATGGGGCCTTCCCAGCAAGAGGTGATAATTTCCTTGGTTTTCAAATCCTTATGAATGCACCCAGCTTCTAGTTACCACCTTCTAATCAAGTGAGGAGCCCATCAAGACCTTTGAGAAACTCCCTTTTACATTAGTAGGAGATTAACAAATTTTTTATTGATAAATTACATATATACATATTCCCTATGTAGAGACAAATTATACATATATTTATTCCCTATATATAGTCCATACATTATATATATATTAATATATATTTATGGGATAAAAAGTGATATTCTGATTTTGTAACCGAAAATTGTAATACCACTTAGTGGGAGATTTTTGTACCTTCCAGCTCTCTCTCAGCATTCTGGAGTTTCACGCCACATGCCTGCCTACCCCTGGATGTGAGTAACTCGTAATGAACCCATCATCTTCCTGAGTGTTTACTGTGGGTTGGGGTGAATCAAATTTCCTACAGTTCCCCAAGCAGCAGGCCTGTCTACAGTCTGCTCACAGACTTCCCATTTACAATGCATGTTCAGGTAGAAGCTGGGGATGTAGAGGGAGTCCAGCCAATCAAGGAAGTAAGCAGGGAAGAGGCAATGTCCAGATCCTCTGTTGGAACTGGAGCATAGAAAACAAATCCCTAATGTAGGTTTATACAGACATCAGTTTTACTTTACTTTCCTTTTATATTTATAAAATTTATGTTATTCAGCATACATTTATGGAATATATATTTTCTCAGAGATTTATGTGCATTTGGAAATGTTTTAAAACATTATTTTGTACAATTTGAAATAATTATTTTTTCTTAGGTCCTAAAGGCCCAATGTTTTTATGGATAATTTTACATTGTATACTAATTTCATAATAAAAATGTCATCTATACTATATTTTTAAAACATTTTTGGTATGTTTTGCTAATTCTTTTAGCTTATTGTCACACTTTTACAAGTGTTTCTTGTAAGCACAAAATTAAATTTTGTATTTTACTATGGCCTAAGATGTTGTATTTTAATACATTAAGTCATTGACATTTATGGTCTCATTTAACTTCTGTCATCTTATTTTTTGGTCTTCGGTTGTTGTTTTTTATTTACTTTTTTCTTTGTATTTTGTAGTTTTGTTATGTACACTATGTTCTATTTACTTTTTTGTAATGACTTTAAGCTAAGACATCCTGTTCAAACATTTTATTGCAGCTACCTTAAACATTTCCAAACTTAAATTTATCTTAGTGAGAGATAAATAAAGTTAAAAGTCTTCTACTAAGACTGTTGACATGTCTATTTTTCCTTGGAATTCTATTTTTTCTTTATATGTTTTGGGGCAATAATACTAATATCAACAACAGCAACAATAATAACACCAATGTTTGTGATGCCAGACACTGTTGTGAACACTGTGCTAGTTCATTTGATCCTCAAGCGACTGGAAGAAGTAGGCATTATTAATATCCTAATTTTCAATATGAGGAAATTGAAACAGAGAGAGATTTAATAACTTGCCTAAGGTCTGCAGCTAGTCAGTGCTGGAATTAGGTTTCAAGCCCAAGCAGTCTGGCTATATGACACGGCACTGCCTCTCAGGCTTTGTTGTTTGGCACACTGAGGTTCAGCATTATTATAACCTCCTGGTAAATTGTTGAATTTACCCTTATGTCCTTATCCTCTTTATCATTATTGATGCAGTTTGTCTGATTCTAATATAATATTATTATTGCTATAACTGGTTTATTTATCACATCTTTTCTATCCTGCTGCTTTCTTCCTTCCTCTGACATTAGATTTTAAGTGTCTCTCTGAAGTAACTTACAGATTTGTTTTTCCCACTTTTCTTTTATAATGTGCCTTCAAACAATAAATACTGAGTACCTGCATAATTCCTATTCTCAAAATTTTGAAAAACAAAAGTTATGAGAAAAGAGAAAAAAGACGGAGCAATTGAAAGACAAAAGTCAAATGAAAGATTGAGCGAGTGAGAGAGATTGAGAAAGAGAAAAGAAATTATCTCTACATCTTCATATCCTCCAAGATCACTGACCACAGCAGTTCTTTCCTACAAAAAATTATCTTCTGTTTAGTTCTTTTTTTTTAACTTTTTTTTTTTTTTTTGAGATGGAGTTTTGCTCTTGTTGCCCAGCCTGGAGGGCAGTGGTGCGATCTCGGCTCACTGCAACCTCTGCCTCCCGGGTTCAAGCGATTCTCCTGCCTCAGCCTCCTGAGTAGCTGGGATTACAGGCACGCACCAACACACCCAGTTAATTTTGTTTTTTGTTTGTTTGTTTGTTTTTTGAGACGGAGTCTCGCTCTGTCGCCCAGGCTGGAGTGCAGTGGTGCGAGCTCGGCTCACTGCAAGCTCTGCCTCCCGGGTTCACGCGATTCTCCCACCTCAGCCTCCCGAGTAGCTGGGACCACAGGTGCCTGCCACCACGCCTGGCTAAATTTTTTGTATTTTGTTTAGTAGAGACGGGGTTTCACCGTGTTAGCCAGGAGGGTCTCGATCTCCTGACCTCATGATCCGCTCGCCTTGGCCTCCCAAAGTGCTGGGATTACAGGCGTGAGCCACAGCGCCTGGCCTTAATTTCGTATTTTTTTAAGTAGAGATTTTTTTTTTTATTAGAGATCACCTGGCCTTAGGTGATCCACCCACCTCGGCCTCCCAAAGTGATGGGATTACAGGCATGAGGAACCACGGCCAGCCTTCATTAGTTCTTTTTATGACCTGTTTGTACATTATTTGCAAATATCTGTTGTCATTGCAAATATGTTGCCTTACTATTAGAACAACAGGTAGGGATCAAACACCTCGTCTCACTGCCACCAGAGACACAGATATGGCTTTTGTTCGACTGATTCTGGAACTGTGTAAGGAGCTGCTGGATTCTACGGTGCCCAATAGGCAGCTCTCACCTGACGGACAAAGAGCTGCAGGGCTTGTGGATGGCAGTTCCAAGGTGGATGTACGTAATCCTGCTTAGAAGGCTGCCACTCTGATTGATGAAGAGTCAAGAAAATTCTTTTTCTTTTGAACTGTTTATAGCTTAGAGGTTGGGTAAAGTATAATTTTGTGAACAAAATTTACCCTTCTCTCTACCTGAGTTACCCTAAATTTGGAAACCATTTATGAGTATTTTTATCTGATAGCAATATATTTATTTGCATAAGTTCAGTAAGAATCTGTTTTCTTTTCTAACAGGGCATAATTGGAGAAATTGGTTATTTTACCAAGGCATTGACTGGAATGGCATATTTTCAGAATTGACCAGACTGAGGAATGGAGGTTGACTTTATAAATTCTTTCTAGGAAAGACTGGCCTAGTACCTTGTCTAAATGGTTCTCTTACAAGGTTTCTGACCTATGGTAAGTAAAGAATGTCATTTACTAACAGGCCTGGGAACCTTAAGATATTTTGGGAATTCAAGAAGAGAGGAATTTGTATAGGTATTACAAGCATAGTCTAATGGTGAATCCTTGGCTTGGCTCCTAGCCTTGAGGCTTTTAAAAAGCAGAATCCACAATTTCTCATAAAAGTTCCAGCAAAGACAACTTAAAAAGAGCCTACCAGTCTGGACAACATATTGAGACCCTGTCTCTACAAAAAATAAAAAATGAGCCAGAGTTGTGGCACACACCTGTGGTCCCAGCTATTTGGGAGGCTGAGATGGGAGGATTGCTTGAGCTCAGGAGGTCCAGGCTGTAGTGAGCCAAGATTGCGCAACTGCACTCTAGCCTGGGTGACAGAGTGAGACTCTGTCTGGAAAAAAAATAAATAAGCAGCTCAGGCTGATCACTATTCTTGCCATATTTTATGCAAATAACCAGGCCAAGTATAATGAGACCAAAATTTATTTTGAAAATAAATTGGTCCTATTATGATTTATCCTTGGCAGAAACGGGGAAACTAGAGACCAAAAAATTTGGATACTAGCCCTCACCATTGTTTTTGAGTTTTTATTATTTACCTACAATTTGGGCTAAATCCTGAATTATTTGCTGTCTGCAAGTCTAAAGAGGAACCAGGTTTTAATTTTCTTCATGATACTTTTAGTTGGCTCTTTAATGGAATAGGTACTTTTTTGTTGTTGTTCTGGGATACAAATTCTCTTTTGACTGTAATCCTTGAGTGCAAATTATTAATGTTATATATCTCACGCTGTTTTACTCCTGAGAAAACCGAGGTCATTGTATTCTGAAGACTAGAGGTGCTTCAACAGCCTGTGAACCTCCCTCATTAGGAATCCCACTGGGCCTGATCTATTTTCCATTGCCAAAGCACTGCTGCTAAAGTTTGACAACATCAAGCGCTCTCTCTAAGGCTCAGGGATGGTCATGGAAGAGGAGGGCGTGAGAGACTGTAAGAGCTGCATTAGAGGGGTGGAGCATGGAAGCCAAAGCAACTCCATCCTGGGTGCTAATCTGCCATGTTGGCTTCTGATTAACCTCAGTTCCGGGAATGCCTCTGAGATTTTCAGTTTATCTATTCCTCCTCGTATAAGAGCACCTACTTACCATAAATCCCACCGTGAGGGCAAATTCATGACCACTCCTTCTGAAGTGTGTGTACCCCTCCCTGACAGCACATAAGTCCTGCTTCTGGGGGGTAATGGTTCAGGATCTACCATATCATCTCATCACTGCCAGGGACACAGACATGGCTTCTGTTTATAAGTCCCTGTTAAAAGTTTCTTTTCTAAGCAACTAGATTTGTATGTCTCTTTCTTTAGTCTCTCAGCTTCCTCCAACTTAGGGGTAGGTTGACACAGACCTGCCCACAATGAAACAATGGCTGAATAATGTTCTATTGAATGCACTTAACACATTTCATTTCTCCACTAATTCGCAGATGGACATTTGGGTTGCTTCTGCCATTTGGTTATTGTGAATAATGCTGCTATGAATATTACTGGACAAGTTTTTGTTTGAACACCTGGTTTCAATTCCTTTGAATATATACCTAGGAGTGCAAATGCTGTGTTGTATGGGAAACTGCCAAACTGCTTTCCAGAATAGCTGTACCATTTTATATTCCCACCAGCCATGTATGAGGGCTCCAGTCACTCCACATTCTCGTCAACACTTGTTATTTTCTGTAGTCTTCATTGTGGCCATGCTAATGTGTGTGAAATGGTATTTCCTGTGGTTTAGATTTTCATTTTCCTAACAAGTAGGATGTGGAGCATCTGATACATGACACAACATGAATGAACCTTGAAAACATTTTCCTAAGCGAAGGAGGACAGTCACAAAAGACCACATACTGTACGATTCCATTTCTATGAAACGTTCGGAATAGACAAATCCAAGAGACAGAAAGTGGCTGCTTAAGAGCTGGGGGAAAGGATTCTGGGAAGTGGCTGCTTATTGGGCATGGGGTTTCCATGTGGGGTGATGAAAAAGTTCTGGAACTAGATGGTGGTCATGGTCACACTGTATGAGAGTACTTACTGCCACTGAAGTGTACACTTAAAAATGGTAAAAATGGTAAGTTTTATGTGTATTTTACAATGATAAAAATGCCAAAGAAAAAATAAAACAATAAAAAACAAATAACAACAAAATAATAGAATAACAATTTGCCATTATATTTTGAGACACAAACTTTTTTAACACAGTAGATACAGTTCTACTTCCTACAGGATGATTTTTTGTATGTAAATTCCTTTTACATATCTTCCAGGGTTCCTTTTTATTATAATAATTTTGTTTTCAGTGGATGAATTTGGCCTAGGCTTTGGTAATCCCTCTTATATTACGTTTATCCTCAGGCGCTTGTTTGCGTGTGTGTGCACGTGTGTATATATGTGAGTGCATGTGTGTATATGTGTGCGTGTGTGTGCGTGTGTGTGTGCATGTGTGTGTGCACACCTGGATATGTGTGCATGTGTGTGTCTTAATAATATATCTGACTTCTCTTTAAGTACTTTTTCTGAAAAGCCACTGCTCCATTTCCACACTATCCCCAGTCACGGCTCCATTTCCACACTGTCCCCGGTCCCCGCTCCATTTCCACATTATTCTTCATAGTAAAGTTTTTCAAGAGAATTCTTTATCATCACTGTCCTTGCTTCCTCATTCCCGTTCCCTCTTTAACCCACTCCCTCACCATTTCACTGAAGTTGCTTTTATCAAGGTCACCAGTGACTTTCTTTGTGTCTAATCCTTGAATCTCCTTTCTGTTCTCCTCAGCACAGCACAATTGACCTGGTGAAGTTGTACCCCCAACACTGGCAGGTCACCCTAATTCCCTCCCTCCAATCCCTGGCCTGGCCTGACCTCGCTGGTTCTGAGACAGCCAGGGGGGAGGCGGTCCTTGGAGAAGGTCCACCCTCTCCATCTTTCCTGCCCACTGGGAGGAGCCACACAGGTTCACACCATTTGCCGCAGGGAGTAGCCTGGCCCCTCCTCTTCCTGTGTGGAAACTGGGATGCGAATGGCTGGTGGGAAGCCCCAAAATGGGATGAGGATGGCTGGTGGGAAGCACCCTAGCAGGGACTCTGGCTTAGCGAGAGTCCCTGTTTCCCCTTTTTCTTCCTTTTTCACCCAACAAAACCCTGTCTTACTCATTCAAATTCAAATTGTCTGTGAGCATGAATTTTCGTGGCCATGGGACAAAAAACCCTGTCTTCAGCCGAACTAAGGAAAAGTCCCGCAGCAGTTCCTCCTTAGGGACTCTTCGAACGCACTGTCTTAGCCCAGGCTGCCTTAACAAAATACCATGGACAAGGTGGCTTGAAAAACACACATGTATTTTCCCACAGTTCTGGAGGCTGGAAGTTGGAGATCAGGGTGTCAGCATATTCGAGTTCTGTGGAGGGAGAGATCGCTTCCTGGCTTGTAGACAGTCACCTTCTCAAAATGTCCTCACAGGGCCCTTCCTCTGTGTGCATGCGGAGAGATCGCTGGTCTTTCTCTTCTTATAAAGACAATGGGCCTACTGGGTTAAGGCCCCACCATTATGATCTCACTTCACGTTTATTACCTCCATACAGGCCCCATCTCCAAATACGGTCACGCTGGGATTTGCCCAACATAATGAATTGGAGGGGAGCGGTGGGGCACGATTCAGTCCACTGCACACCGTTCTCCTCTCCAGACCTCTCACTGGCAAGTCCTTTCATCTCAATTTCAGTTCTGTGAGGCCGTCCTACTATTGTCTATCACCCTGTTTGATTTTTTTGTAGCCTCATCATTTATTCATTACAGTTTCTTAAGTTCTTTTTTTTAGGGAGCTTGTCATTGCCTAGAAGAGTGCTGGGCACACAATAGGTAGGTATTCAGTAGGCATGCATTGAATTTTAATTCTGACCTTTTGAATCTGCCCTGTGTTAACTTCCTTGAGAGGGCTGTCCTGCTAAGGAACAATGACCAGATGATGAGTGGCTGTGCCTAGGATAGAGGGAGGGCAGCTGCACCGAGGGTCGGCTGTTTAACACTGACTCTGTAGGTGAAGGAGTATGTAAGTTTCTATAAATTTATGTATTCTACAACTTTATGTATTCTGTAAATAAAATACTATTTTTCTCTTATTAGCATTGCAGTGATTATTTACATTTCAGAAATTTTATGACTATTATAATAGACAAGATAGGCTTCCGGGTGCTTGTGTTTTCCCTCATTTCACTAGAAATCATTTAGGGTTTAATTGGCTATTCTGAGTTTTTTGGTAGTTTTAAAATTGATATCTAATAGTTGTACATTTAAAAAATTCCCTTTACTTTTAAAACTCTGGCAACAGTTCTGTTTTTTACAGTATCATCAAATGCAAACATATTAAAATCTGTCCATATAAATAACAATAAGAGGTCCTTATTTAAAAAAAGATACTGAGAATAATTTAAGATTAAAGCCAAAATTTGAAGAAGAGATAAATGAGGAAATCCCTTATCTATATGTATGTGTGTGTCTGTCACACTGTGACTGCTATTCCTAAGAGTTCTTCTCAATTGCTGGCTCCTTTTGTTAATTTAGATTCACAAATAGTCATTTTTAAGGTTTATGTGACAACAAACCTTATTTCAGTTAAGGTATTTCAGTAAATTTTTCATTCTTAGGATAACTAGTTTATTTAACATAAAATAGTAGTTTTCAAATTTAGGAATCTTTCTTTAAAGTTTAAGAAATCCAGAATTAAAAGAAAATTGCTTTCAGAGGGACACAGAACAAGGAATGTTTTAGACATATCAGTTAAAATTATATGTGAATACCTGGATTACATTGATATTAGCTCCAGAAATGTGAAGCGTTTTTACTCATAAAATATATCTTTAAAATTCATGTTTTATAACTTTTTAAAGATCACATAGTACCTACTATGTGACCTTTAAATCTTACAATGACCTTTGGTCAGCAGCAATAAAATTCTAACTTGACCTAGCCTGTCAAATATTTATCCCCATAACAAATGTGTAAGACAGTGATACTATATTGAAACATCAGAAACACAGTGAGGTTGTATTAGTCCGTTTTCACATTACTATAAAGAAACATCTGAGGCTGGGTAATTTATAAATGAAAGAGGTTTAATTGACTCACATTTCTGCATGGCTGGGGAGGCCTCAGGAAACTTATAATCATGGTGGAAGGCCAAGGAGAATTCACTCACTATCAGAAGAATAGCATGGGGAAAACCACCCCCATGATCCAATCACCTCCCACCAGGTTCCTCCCTCGACATGTGGAGTTTACAATTCGAGATGAGATTTGGGTGGGGGCACAAAGCCAAACCACATCAGAGGTTAATGACTTTCATGAAAAAAACTCAAATCAGAGACTTACTCTTATGCTTTCCATATCCTTGCTTCTATTAGCAATTAAAATTTCATTGAAAATATCTGTTCTTATGACTGCTGTTATAATTACCAAGGATCTTGCTCAGAAACACAAATTAATCTGAAAAAGTATAATTATCTATTAATATATTATGACCTCCTTTAGACTTATTGTGACGTTTCTAAAATAAAGACTTAACAGTGTTTCTCAACCCTTGAGGCAGCTATTGAGTTATTACAAGAGGTCTTACAAATTAGACAGGCATTAATCACTGTCTACAGAAAATATATATAATATATTTTACAAGTAGATGTACTATTATTTTTCAAATACGTGTGATGCAGTTGTGATGAATAACTAAAAATAATTTCTCACCTTATATTTTCCAGTGATACTGAATATACAACTAAAATCATGTAATATAGCACATGAGATTCTTAATGCTAAAATTAAGACTTTTTAACATGAAAAATGCTCTTAAGGGCAGAAATGAAGCAAATTTCAGGCAAGATGGCAGACAAGACTGAAACGGATTCATCCATCAACTGCTACAGACTTAAAAAACAAAATATGCCCAATGCAAAGCTGAGCTCAGGAAATCCTCAGATGCTAGAGATAAAGACAAAATCCAGTTGCAGAAGTGAGTTCCAGGTGATGCCAGGAGACCCCAGGAAGTATCAGATTAGGTCACAAAACTAGGAATAAGGTTTTAATGTCTTCAGAAAAACAGAGCATTTGGTGAGAGAAGGGAACTAATCCGAGACTCCCGCATACAACCAGGACACTTGAAGGGCTGCCTCACCTGTGAAAAAGAAACTGGAAAAATCTCTTCAAATCTGTCTGTGGAAACAGAAAGACAGCCTGGTGTTTGACAAAGCTCTCGGTGGGACAAACCTCCTCTGAGAAATGGAAACCTAGGAAATCAAAAGCCCAGAAATTAAGGGAAAGCATTAGTCTCAGATAATGAAAAGGAAACCCTTGGGGCCCGGGCCAAAGCAAATGTAAAAACATGAACACTTGCATAATCTCGTACATGGGACTCACAGAAAATGCAACCCCTAATATAGATGAGCTCGCAATGAAAAATTATCCACCACTGTGGCAATGCAGTCACCAAAAGGAAGACTCAACAGACCAATGAGCATAGACACGAGCTGTGGAGGTAACAACTGGAAACAGAAGAATAAAATCTCAAGATAAATAATTTAAAAATACTTAACATGGAAAAATATTTCACTTAAAAAATATAACTTTTAGAAAAAATATAGTATCATTAACTTAAAAATTCAGTAGCTAGGTTGAACAATAAATTCACCACAAATGAAAAGAGAATTAGAGATCTGGATCACGGAGCTGGAAGATGAATGCAGAGGCAGCACAGGGAGGTAAAGCAATGGAAAAGATCGCAGGGAGTCCCAAGACCCGGGATGCTCCCTCGAGTCACTCACAGGAGCTCCAGAGGAAAGGACAGATCATGGGGAAAGGCAATATTTGAAGCAACAATGACTGGGAATTTTTCATAATTAAGAAAGATGTAAATATTCAGAGGGAAAATGCAGATCTAGACACTTTTCAGAAACACTATGAAACTCCAAAGTCAAGGAAAAGATTAAAAGCAACTAGAAACAAAAGACAGTTTACAATAAAAGATCCAAATTAGATGGAAATTACATGTCTCATTAATAAAATAGAGGTCAGAGAAAAGGGTAAAAAATGTTCAACATGCTCAAAGAACAAAAGTTATTCATCTACAATACAACTTAGTAAAATTATCATTCAAAAATAAAGACAAATCAAATGTATTTGACTAAGACTGAAGGGTATTTTTTTAACCCCTGGATCATCAACTTTACCAAAGGATAAAATTTATTAAAAAGTGAGTTGAACACAGGACAAAGAGATGAGATGAAAGAGCTAATAGTAGATAAATTGTTGAATGAATTAAGACTAAATAAGCAGTGACTATTATGAGTTTTTTAAATCATCAATATGGCGGGTTTATAAAGCGGGGCTAAGATACTAGAAAGGAATAGCAAGGAAGATGAGAGGAAGGTAATCTGGGTCAAAGGTAATATCTCTGCCTTGAAAGAGATGAGGATAAAGTTATTGATACCCTTTAGACTTATCAAATAATTAAGCATATTAAAGTTTAAGAATACCTATTCTGAAAAATAAAATGAACTTTCAAGAGAATAGAGAAGAGGGAATGAAAAAAACAGTACCAGCTTTATCTTGAAGGCTGGGTAAATATCCTCCTGGTCCCAGGAAAAAATATGGAGAGAAAAACTTACGTAGAATGGATCCAAATATGTAAGCAATAATAAAAAGTGTTTGTGAATTAAATTCTCTTATTAAAAGAGATTATCATAAAAGGGAAAATGTCCTTCAGTTCTGAATTAGTTTATAAAGTGAACACTCAAAATATAATGACAATGAAAGGTGGAAAATAAAGGTGAAGTTTTAAAAAAAAAGTATCTTGTAGGATAAATTCCTGGAAGAGGAACTGTTTTATCAATGGGTATACATATTGGTCATTTTGATACATATTGCCAAGTCGTGCTTCACAGAGATGGTACCAAATTACATTTCTATAAAAAATAAATGACTACCTGTTTTTCTAATGTCTGTCCAAAGAGAATGCTATCAGAGTTTGATTTTTAACAATATTATAGTTAAAAATGGTATTTCAGGGTTGTTTTATTTCTCTTACTATGAGAATAATTACCTTTTAAAGCTATTTTTGAAGGTCATTTGTATATCCTTTTCTGAGAATTGTATTTTCTTATCTTTTGCCATTTTTTCTCTACTGAGGCATTGGCCTATTTCAAGAGATCTTTTATATTAGAGAAATTAGTCTTGAGTGTGATAGGAGTTTCAATTTTTTCTTTTGCCATGACAATTTAAAAATGTTTTTGAATTCGTTAATGTTTTATAGATGCTGATTTTTGAGTCTCATTGGGAATATTTCCCCCATTGTGTAGCATAAAGAATAGAAACAGTCAGAAAAGAGCATTAATAATGGTTTATTCTCATACTTTTATGATTTATTTTCTTTACATTTAAATCACTAGTCTATTTGTAACTTTTCCTGGTATAAAATGTAAGGTAAGTTTCCAACTGTGGATTGTTTTTAGGTCATATCCAGTTGTCCTATTGTATTTATTGACTAGTTCTCCAGTGATTGGAGATTTAACCTTATTATAAATTTCTATTTCTTGACTTTCTATTCTGTTTCACTGGCCTGTCTTCCTTATTTGTGAACAGTATCATTTTGATCTGATTATCACGACTGTTTAAATGATTTTAATATTTGGTAGGCTGGTCCCTTTACATTACTTTCCTAGGTTTATTATTATTATTACCATAATTTGCTTACTTTTTCATATAAAGTTTACACATAAATTTTACATGTAAGTTTGACTCAATGGACCTACATAGAACCTTGCATTCAACAGTTAGATAAAACACATTCTTTACAAGCATATAAGGACTATTTTGGAAAGCTGAATAAGCACTAAGCCAGAAAGCAAGCCTTCAGAAATTCCAAAGTATCTATGTCTATGTCATACATGTCACATTTTCTGCAGAAAGTTAAATAAAATAACAAATCATTAACTAAAAGATAGCCAAACTTTTAACACCCCCATATATTTGGAAATTTAAGAACACTTTAAAATCACCCAGCGATCAAGAGAAAACCATTATAGAAAGAACAACACATTAGGAATTGAATCCTAATGAAATTACTTAACCTCCAAATAGTAGAAAATTTCCCCTTTGTACTGACTCTTTTTAAGAATCGAAAAGAGGAAAAGCTACACAGCTGACTGTCTGAGGCCAACATAACCTTAATACGAAAACCACAGAGTTCAATCTCACCGAGGCCGACATAACCTTAACACTGAAACCATAGAGTTCAATCTCACTGAAATCCAAACAAATAGGCACATTGAATGATGGCCAAATAGGCCATATCACAGAAATGCCAGAATTTTTCAACATCATGTTTACATTTTTAGATTAAAGGAAGACAAATAAGATAATTTTAATAGATGCAGATAAAACTTTTGATAAAATTTCTTCACTAAAAAATAAAAACGCTTAGCAGAAACCTATAGCAGATCCCATACTTCATGGTGAACTTTAGGATTATTCCCATTTTGGTTAGAAAGGAGATAAGAAGAAAGTTATTATTTTTATTCAACCCTACGCTGGAGGTTCTAGCTAATGTGGTAACACAAGAAAAGTACATGCAAAGATTGGAAGGGAAAAAAAAGAACTGTTTATATTTGAGGATGATATGGCTGTCTACACAGCACACCCTGAGAGTCTATAGACATGCTCAATTAAAAGCTCTGTAAAAACATTGTTGCATAAAAAAATCAATGCACTAAAAATAATAGCATTTCCATACACGATTAAAAACAACTTTGAAAATATTTTTTAAAAGTTCACAATAGCAAGAGATGAAGTAAAACAAACACTTTAAGATAATAAAATTAACAATCACTATGTAAGACCTTATGGAGACAATTACAAAAGATGATTGACAAATATAAACGGAAGACAGAAATAATTTTTTATGAATAAATGCATATATTGATTTTGCTTATGGTTGGGTAGACTAAAACTTAGATGGGTGATGATTCTGCCCAAATTAATCATCATGTCTATGGCTGGCTGTTTTACTACAAATGCTGATGGCTCTGTCTAGCTGGAAGATATTAATTACTGAGTAACAAATCTGGATTTGAGAATGGAGAATCAAATTATTTTATGGAATAACCTTATTTTAAGTTTCTGTCAAAAAGGCTAAAAGACAGCTAAAGGTCAGTTGTAAGCAGATCTCAAATTTATGCACACTTAACCTTTATTATCCAGGAATTGTATGTTCCCGACGGTAACAGTCAAAGAATGATACTTTCAAGTGTAATAAATAAGAAAGAAATAATCCCTTGTTTCATAGCTTCTAACATTCCCACTCAACCTCTTGTCATATAGTTAAAGGAATTTCCTAAAACTTTAAAAACTGCATTTATTTTAACCATAGGGAGATAAAAAGGAGTAAAATACATATTGAAATACATTGTCAAAGCTTCTCTTTCCTTGATCACATATCTGTATAATGCTAAAAATAGTATACTTTGGTCAGAGGTAGAGGGAGAATAACTGTACTTCAGGATAACAGGTGTTCATAAATAACGAATCAAGAAATATATGATAGGCCTGAAAAGTCTTGGCAGAGTTTTAGAAATTGAGACTGTTAGAAACAGATTATTTGTGGCTTTCACCACTGGTATTAATTGTAAAACATGGCCCTATTTTACAAAAACTCTCCTTGAATAAGATAATGTACTGCGAATTTTAATACACTCGACCAAATAAGTAGAATTAAATAGGTCAGGAAAGGATTATTTCAGGTGAAGTTAATGCCAGGAGGCAATTTTAAGAAGAAATTGTTATGATAGTGGCACTGTTGTCTCTTACATCAGCATACAATTTTGCTATGCATATATTTTTCAGAGATTTGTTCCAATTTGTTAAAGCTCTTTATACTGAGGATGCTTTATATTTCTTAATCAAATTTTGCTAAAGCAAAAAATATATATACTGAATAGCTACAATAGTTATAGCATTGTGCTAAATGTTAGGGAGAGATGGGGCCAGTTAGTGGGTAGGAAAAAAAAAGGAAAGTGTGTTAGAGAAATATAACTTATTTCCTTGGATTCATATTTTAGTATGATCAGCTTGTCGAAAGAATGAATCAATGACACTCTGTCTTCGTGGAGAGCAGCCTGGGTGTGGAATCAGGCACCCCCGGGTTCAAAGCCATCACTGGTATGTAGTGAAATCCACCAGTTTTCAAATGCTGTGACTGGTGGAAATGTAACGGAGCTCCTCTGGGCATTATTAGTTCATCATTTGCAAAATGATACCTAATTCCTGGGGTTATTATAAGGATGAAATGATACCATTTAGCATGTGCTAAATGATATTAATTCCCTTTCTATTCTCTGAAGAGGACAATCATACAATCACAAAAAGTTAAGTAAGATTTCAAGTGATTAAGTACCAAATGAAGGGTACATACCAAGGCTACGTGGAAAAAAGCTCTGGTTAAGAGAAAGGAGAGATCATTATGGGCTGGAGTCAGGAAAATGTTTCATTGGGATGGGGGGACTTTGATGAGCCCTGTGAGATGAGGAGGGGTGAGTGTTCTGGGCAGAGGATACCCCCTGAGTGATGGCACAGAGGGGAGCACAGCATAGTCAAGATACAGTGGCTCGTTGTTAGGGTTAAGGTGGCCTGAGTTGGAATGAACTGGCAGGTGATATCAGGGAGCCAGGAGGGAGCCCTCTCTGCAGGCTGAGTCTGGACTGGACACTTTAGGCATCAAGGGAAATAGAGATGATTGAATAACAATTTGGTAAGTATAGTCTGAAGTGCAGGCTGACCTGGGAAGATCAACGTATAGGAGTGAACATCTTGGGGTAGAATCATCAGTTTGGGCCGGGCACGGTGCCTCACACCTGTAATCCCAGCAGTTTGGGAGGCTGAGGCGGGTGGATCATGAGGTCAAGAGATCGAGACCATACTGGCCAACATGGTGAAACCCCGTCTCTACTAAAAATACAAAAAGGCGTGGTAGCGCACGCCTGTAGTCCCAGCTACTCGGGAGGCTGAGGCAGGAGAATCGCTTGAACCTGGGAGGCGGAGGTTGCAGTGACCAGAGATCATGCCACTGTACTCCAGCCTGGGGGACAGAGCGAGACTCCATCTCAAAAAAAAAAAAAAAAAAAGCTGGGCGCAGTAGCTCACACCTGTAATCCCAGCACTTTGGGAGGCCAAGGTGGGTGGATCAAGAGGTCAGGAGATCAAGACCATCCTGGCTAACATGGTGAAACCCATCTCTACTAAAAATATAAAAAATTAGCCGGGCGTGTTGACGGGCGCCTGTAATCCCAGCTACTTGGGAGCCTGAGGCAGAAGAATGGGAGGATGAGGCAGGTAACTCAAATAATAGAAATAACAGAGGGTTTCTTTGCAGTTGTTCATGGCTTACATTCATTGATTCCCTCCTGTTACCCAGGCACTGTTCCTAGCTTTCTCTATTCCTGTGAGGTGGGTGTGGTTGTTGCCCTATCTACAGGTGAGAAGGCAGAAGCCCAGAGGGGCTGGGTGGCTCCCTCGTGCCCCTCTGCTGGCCACAGAGGAGGGAAGACCTGAGCCAGTGCCCTTGCCACCCTCCAGGTACCTCCCCCTTCCTGAGAACCCACAACACACCTTGGCACCTTCCCTACACACACCAAAAGATGGGCAACAGAGTTGCTGGCATCTCCCCAAAACCTTCGCAACGGCTGCTCCCTCCACGCCTACCTCCTTGAGATACTCCAGGCACCAAAATTACCTCTCCTTTCTTTTCACTTTACCCAGTTAAACAGCTGAATGCTTTCATTCATTGGAGAGGAGCAACCAGATTATCTAATTATAGTTATACTGCAAGATACAAACAGCTTGTAAGCTGAAACGTTCCAAAAGGTATTTTGTTTCTAAAAAGAAATGAAATAAAAACCTTAATGGATAAATCCATGATGACATTTTTAACAACAGGGTCTTCCCAGGGCTCCTCACCTGCTCATGACACCTCTCCCGCTCTCCCCATGTTGCTCTCCAGGCGAACTCACAAAGAGTGGGACTCACCGACCTGAGGGTTTGCCAGCACACTCGTAGCCCGCGGGACTAGAGTATTTGTGAGAGAGGAGTGTGGTCTTTGTAAGTGACGATGATAAGTCTCTCTTCATAAGCTAGTTCAAGTTCCTTTGTAAATACTTCCATCACATTTTTTTAAGAATTTTTATATTGACACTAAACAACTAGCATCACAACTTGTGTTTCATAATTTATGGACCTGATTGCATATACTCTATCAGGTTTTTGTAGTTTTAATAATTGTCAGCCAGGTGCTATGATTCATGTCTGTAATTCCAACAATTTGGAAGGCCAAGGCAGGAGGATTGCTTGAGCCCAGGAATTAGAGACCAGCCTGGGAAACAGGGAGAACCCTTCTCTACAAAAAAATTTAAAAATCAGACGGGCCTGGTGATATGCACCTGTGGTCCCAGCTACTCAGGAGGCTGAGGTGGGAGGATCGCATGAACCCAGGAGCCAAGGCTTCAGTGAACCGTGATCGTGCCACTGCACTCCAGCCTGGGTGACAGAGTGAGACCCTGTCTCAAAAAAAAAAAAAAAAGTCATCTGTTTCCCATATTATAGGCAAGCTGAACATCCAACCCTTATTTTTTCTTAGTGCAAAGCTCATGAACACCCTGTTATCTTGCGTGATTCTCTGAGCTCCCTGACTCCCAGGTCTTCCTCTTCCTGTTCTCTAACTGAGGACAGCCCTCAAAGTTTCCCTCAAGGACCTCCTTGCTTTACCCGCTCATGCTACCTATGGTCTTTATCCAAATGACTCTGCAATGTGCCTCGCCACTTCTGACTCTTCCAAAACCCAGAACGTGTATCTGAAATCTTTGGGCACATCCACTTAGAGGCCTCATAAACTGCATCTCAAACAGAACTTACGGCCTATAATCCTGGCCTCCGCACAAGCTCTCTGATTCCGACAATGTCCATGTCGTTCTACTGTCCCAAATGCTGGAAACCTATAGCCAAAACACATATTCCCTCGTGTTATTCTCCATGTTCAGTTCATCAGCCAGTTCTGGAAAGTATTCTTCCATTATTTCTTCACATATAATTCCTTCTCCTGTCATTTTCAGCCTGCCTTGTAGGTCAATACCACCATTCAGACCCCTGTGGCTTCATACTTGAACTTCTGCTATAGTCTCGAACTGATGATTTTTTTTTTTTAGACGGAGTCTTGCTCTGTCACCCAGGCTGGAGTGCAGTGGTGCGATCTCGGCTCACTGCAAGCTCCGCCTCCTGGGTTCAAGCAGTTCTCCTGCCTCAGCCCCCCAAGTAGTTGACTACAGGCTCACCACCATGCCCACCTAGTTTTTGTATTTTTGGTAGAGATGGGGTTTTGTCATGTTGGCCAGGTTGGTCTCAAACTCCTGACCTCAAAATGATCTGCCCTCACTAGCATCCCAAAATGCTGGGTTTACAGGCGTGAGCCACTGTGTCTGGCTCACTGTATTCTTTAAATTTTACTTTGTATAGAAAAAAATTCTTTTTGTATGCCAACATTTTCTTTCTTAAACTCTCTTGGTGCTCCTGTCACTTTGTTTACAGTGATTGAAGAACAGAAGTCATTCGTGAAGGACACAGCACACACAGCCCAGAGAGCTCGCAGGTTAAAACTGCACATGGAGCAATGTCTGCCAGCCATTCAGGGTACTTCAAAATAGGTCAGAATACGTTTCCAGAAAGTGACACCTTCTTTTTGGGTTTGCGTATAATAATAAATCTAGGGGATAAGAACATAAAAGACTGGAAACTTCTTTTGTATTACAATAATGTACTTCTAAATGCATTTTGGGTACAGACAATTCCATGTTTATGCAATGACTGTAGATACATATATAAGCTGATTAAATAACAGGATGTAAAATTTATTGATAATCACATTTATCAACTAAACCTTGACAAGTTTTTAATGAAAAATTATTATCTGTGTAGTAGAATCTCTGCTTTCATAGTTTACCCGTAGGCCACTCATCTAAGTGTGCCTTTTTTTCTCTCTCTCTTTTTTTTTTTTTTACAGCAAACACAGTATTCACAATCAAGTTATTTAGACCTTTTAGATTGTATACAAATGACATAGAAAAATGTACAGCCAGTCCACTGGGTTGTAATTTTAGAAACAAACATCTCAAGTCATAATAATAAAGTAGAGTTTTAAAAAGTTACTAGGTTTTCTTTATTTGCCATAAGAAAGACTGAACTTCTTAGTATGTAGTTTGAAGAGTATTTTCTTTAACTCATTGAAGCCTACAGAGAAAATTCAAATCCACAGAGAATAAGAGGGTCATTCTCCAGATTCTCATTAGACAATTTGTGGAAATGGTGTCTCTCTTCTCACAGTGAACCCTGACTCCTCCATGACTGCTGGAGAAGACCAAGCATCGCTATTTAGGATGCTCTTTTTTCTGCTCTTTCCAGCTCTAAATTTCTAGCATCACCAATTCCCCTTGCTCCTGGCTCTCTGGACTTTGTGCCCTGCTGCCCTTTGTTGTGATCTTCCATGGCCACTTACATAGAGACTGCTATGCCACCACGTTCCAGCTGCAATATGTGTGGCCAGGCGCATGGCTCAAGCCTGTAATCCCAGCACTTTGGGAAGCTGAGGTGGGCAGATCACCTGAGGTCAGGAGTTTGAGACCAGCCTGACCAACATGGAGAAACCCCGTCTCTACTAAAAATACAAAATTAGCCAGGCGTGGTGGTGCATGCCTGTTATTCCAGCTACTCAGGAGGCTGAGGCAGGAGAATCGCTTGAACCCGGGAGGCGGAAGTTGCAGTGAGCTGAGATCATGCCATTGCACTCCAGCCTGGGCAACAAAAGCAAAACTCCAACTCAAACAAAACAAAACAAAACAAAACAGAATATGTTTGCATGTCTGTGAAGACAGGGCAGTGCTTGATTTGCTACTTAAAATCCCCTGCCTCCTATGAGTCTTAATCAAGCTGCTGAATATGTGGATTATTCTGTCTTCGTTTGGGAGTTAATAAAATACTCGAGTATATGGTTGCTGAATACCCATTTCATTGCACAATGAACATGGTCAATGCATTAGTCCATTCTTACACTGCTATAAAATACTACTTGAGACTGGGTAATTTACGAAGGAAAGAGATTTAACTGACTCACAGTTCCACATGACTGGGGAGGACTCAGGAAACTAGCAATCATGGCAGAAGGCTAAGGGGAAGCAAGGCGTGTCTTACATGGTGGCTGGAGAGAGACAGCGCAGAGGAAACTGCACTTGTAAACCATCAAATCTCATGAGAACTCCCTCATTATCATGAGAACAGCATGGGAGAAACTGGTCCCATGATCCAATCACCTCCCACCAGGTCCCTCCCTTGATGTATGGGGATTATTTTTTATTTTTATTTTTTTTTGAGACAGAGTCTTGCTCTGTCACCCAGGCTGGAGTGCAGTGGCACGATCTCGGTTCACTGCAAGCTCCGCCTCCCAGGTTCACGCCATTCTCCTGCCTCACCCTCCCAAGTAGCTGGGACTACAGGCGCCCGCCACCACGCCCAGCTAATTTTTTGTATTTTTAGTAGAGACGGGGTTTCACCATGTTAGCTGGGATGGTCTCAATCTCCTGACCTCGTGATCCGCCCGCCTTGGCCTCTCAAAGTGCTGGGATTACAGGCATGAGCCACTGCACCCGGCTGATGTATGGGGATTATAATTTGAGATAAGATTTGGGTGAGGACACAGAGCCGAACCATATTATTCTGCCCCGGCCCCTCCCAAATCTCATGTCCTTTTCACATTTCAAAACTAATCATGCCTTATCAACAGTCCCCTAAAGTCTTAACTAAATTCCAGCATTAACTCAAAAGTCCAAGTCCAAAGTCTCATCTGAAAAAAGGCAAGTACCTTCCACCTATGAGCCTGTAAGATAAAAAACAACTTAGTTACTTTCAAGATACAATGGGGGTACAGGCATTGGGTAAATGTTCCCATTCCAAATAGGAGAAATTAGCCAAAACAAAGGAGCCACAGGCCCCATGAAAGTCTGAAAACTGGCTGGGCAGTCATTAGATTTTAAAGCTCCAAAATCTCCTTTGACTCCATATTTTACATCCAGGGCATGCTGATGAAAGAGGTGGGCTCCCATGGCCTTAGGCAGCTCCACCCCTGTGACTCTGCAGGGTACACTTCCTGCATCTGCTTTCACGGGCTGGCCTTGAATGGCTGTGGCTTTTCCAGGCACATGGCACAAGCTGTCAGTTGATCTATTTTTCTGGTGCCTGGAGAACAGTTGCCCTTTCCTGACAACTCCACTAGGCAGTGCCCCAGTGGGGACTCTGTATGGGGGCTCCAATGCCACATTTCCCTTCTGCACTGCCTTAGCAGAAATTCTCCATGAGGGCTCTGCCCTTGCAGCAGACATCTGCCTGGATATCCAGATGTTTCCATACAGCCTCTGAAATCTAGGCAGAGGCTCCCAAACCTCAACTCTTGTCTTCTGTGCACCTGCGGGCCCAAAACCTTGTGGAAACTGCCAATGCTTGGGGCTCACACACTTTGAGGCAATGGCCTGATCTGTACCTTGTCACCTTTTAGCCACAGCCGGAGCTGAAGTAGCTGGGATGCAGGATGCCATATCCTGGGGCCGCTCAGAGCAGTGGGGCCCTAGGCCCAGCCCACGAAACTATTTTCCCTCCTAGACCTCAAGGCCTGTGATGGGAAGGGCTGCCATGAAGATCTCTGACATGTCCTGGAGACATTTTCTCCATTGTCTTTGCTATTAACATTTGGCATCTCATTACTTATGCACATTTCTGCAGCCAGCTTGAGTTCCTCACCAGAAGATGGGTTGTTCTTTTCTACTACATGGTCAGGCTGCAAATTTTCCAAACTTTTCTGCTCTGGTTCCCTTTTAAACATAAGTTCCAATATCAAACCATCTCTTTGTGAACACATATAACTGAATGCTTTCAGAAAAAGCCAGGCCACATCTTGAATGCTTTGCTGCTTAGAAATTTCTTCTGCCAGATGCCCTAAATCATCTCTCTCAAGTTCAAAGTTCCACAGATCTCAAGGGCAGGGGCAAAATGCTGCCAGTCTCTCTGCTAAAGCATAGCAAGAGTGACCTTTGCTTCAGTTCCCAATAAATTCTTCATCTCCATCTGTGACCACCTCAGCCTGGACTTCATTGTCCATATCACTATCAGCATTTTGGTCAAAACCATTCAACAAGTCTCTAGGAAGTTCCAAACTTTCCCACATTTTCCTCTCTTCTTCTGAGTCCTCCAAACTGTTTGAATCTCTGCCTGTTTTCCAGTTCCAAAGTCACTTCCATATTTTCAGGTTATCTTTATAGCAGTACCCCACTCTGCTGGTACCAATTTTCTGTATTAGTTTGTTCTCACACTGCTATAAAGATACTACTTGAGGCTGGGTAATTTATGAAGGAAAGAGGTTTAATTGACTCACAGTTCTCCATCACTGGGAAGGCCTCAGGAAACTTACAATCATGGTGGAAGCTGAAGGGGGAGCAAGGCACATCTTACTTGGCAGCAGGAGAGAGAGAGTGCAGGGGAAACTGCCACTTTTAAACCATAAAATCTCAATAAACCATCAAATCTCGTGAGAACTCCTTCTCTATTATGAGAATAGCACGGGGTAAACTGCCCTCATGATCCAATCATCTTCCACCAGGTCCCTCCCTCGACACACAGGGATAACAGTTTGAGTTGAGATTTGAGTGGGGACATAGATCTAAACCATATCAGTTAACTAGGATATTTTATATGCAAACTCATAAAATATTTCATTTCTATTCAGGACTAGTAGTATAACAGGCACCTGAAACACACAATTTTATGGAATTGTAAACCTAAAGTCATGTAACTGTGTTCTATGTGTTTCCTATTCCCATAGGATATGCCTTTGCACCCAGCTCAGAGAGCCCTTCCTGTCCTCTCTAGGGAGAATTAAACCCTCTGTAACAGCAGTGCCTGTTGCGTAGAGATCTATGAGGGCATTTATTATGCTTATGTATTTGTTTATATTCTGTCACCCTCACTAACTTGTGAGCCCTGGATGGCATATTCCATCCATTCTTTTTTGCTCTATAACATTTCATACCAATTCATGAGACAGAGGCCACCTCATATTTGTTGACTTAATTAACCAATGAGCCAGTTCTCAAATGACCTCTGGATAGCAGTCTCTCTCCTCTCTGGCTCATTCTTCAGGTTGCAGCCAGACACTCCCTTCTAAAAATACTTTGTCCATGTCACTCATCTACCAAAGGCCCTTCACTGGCTGTGTGCAGGGTCTATCCTCAACGCTTCACTGTGTTGTACTCCGTTTTCCAGAATCTGTCCCCATTTTCTTTCCAGCTTCACATTCTAACATTTCACCCTCACATCTTCAGTTCCAAATACACCAAATATTTGCTAGATGTGTCCTGCTCTTCTGTATGCCTGGAGTACTTCTCCAGTTTTTCCATTTTGATGTTCATCTTTTTATTCTTTATGAAATCATACTGCATCCTTTCCACATAATAGTGGTTAAGGTGTACATGTTGGAGCCTAAGTCCAAATCCTGCCCCAGCCTCTGCCACAAATTAGTGATAGGACCTTGGGCAACTCACCTCAGTCTCCTCATTAAAATGGAAATGATAACAGTACATACATCAGCTGCCTATGGTAAATAATGTATTAGTTAATTCATGTAAACCATCTAGAACACTGCCTGGTACTTGCTAATCATTATTATTGCCACTTTACTATAAAAGCATTAGAAGTAGTATATTATAATTACATGAATAATCATTAAGTGGGTACCCAAATATTTACCTATTCAGTAAATCTTCCTTTGTCTTCCTAGTTGGAGTAGGGAAGCCAGAGGGAGTGCCTCCCAGACAGGAAGGGGCAGCAGAGGCAGGAGAGACAGGGTGAGTGGAGAGCAAGCGGCCAGCAGTACAGTCCCAGACCCTCCCCTCCAGGGTGGAAACTGTGTGTGTGTGTGCATGCATGTGCACATGCGTCTGTGCTGTAGGTAACCGGAGACGACTGAGGGAAATCCTGGGGTGCCCGAGTATGTTGCGAGAGGATAGTTGTTCCCTGCTGTACTTTGTTTCTCAGGGCATGGGCCGAAGAAGTTTCAGGTCACAGCAGAGCCTGACAGTGACCAGCTCAAAGCCAGGGAAAGGATGGCAGATGCAGCTCAGGAGCACTGGTGTGAGCTGAGCTTTGGGAGTCAGCCAGCACCCACAAACCTGCAACAGTCAGCAGGTGCTATGAATGCTAAGAGAACAGACCAAAGACAGGTTCTAACCATGGCAACCTCAAGAAGGTATACAATGAGGAGGCCCACAGCCAAGGGCCAGGTGAAGAGGACCTTGGAGCTCAGCCGAACATTTGTAGGAGTGAGAAGAGAGGACAACGTGAGGCAGATTGCAGACACTCTGCTCTGCATCAGAAGCCAACTAAGCGTCTGCTGACACCCAGGTGATGTCAACTGGGGAGAGAAGGGAGTAAGGGAAGTGAAGCCCTGAGACCCTCGGACGGGCTTCAGATGCCTCCTTCTCTTCTGCCACTCCCAGATTTCATGAGTGGAGATGCAATCTCCAAAGCAAGAAGAGAACAGTTACGGATGACAAAGAGGGTTACAGTGTTTTGCACATTGAGGCATTTGTTCCCAACACCACATATAGGCACATGTACACACATGCATGCACACACACACTTGTTTACAATTCGCCTCTCTCGTTAGGTCTATCTTTCTTTATTTCTGCTTTATATCTGGCCCAGAACTTAGCATGGCTCAGGGTCTGTCACAGAGACCTGGGTGAATGGATGGATGGATGGATGGATGGATGGATGGATGGATGGATGGATGGATGGATGGATAGCTGGATGGATAGGTGGATGGATGGATGGATGGATAAATAAAAGAGTAAATAAATTGCTCTTTAGTTAATTCACTCCACCCTCTCTGGATCAAGTGTCCTCTACTTTAGTGTGTGGAAATTTCTGCAAAACACATCAAGCAAGTGTTGGTTTCAGACCTCCTGGCTTTAGTCATCTGGGATAACAAGTCATTTTGTGTGACTTTAAATCCCTCATTTCAATCCCCTTTTGATTCACAAGTGAGAACCAGCATCCCATTTAGGGTAAAATGACTCGCCCAAAGGCAGGAGGTGATTGAATTGCCCACTCATCAATCCTAACTTATTTAGGCTCATTGTTCTTTGCCAACTGAAAGGGGCCTTTGATTTCATTTAGGCTCCTGCACTTTCAATTCATGAAATGTGTCAAACAAGGCGCAGCTTATTAGTTTTATTAGATCTGGCCTCATTCCAGGGTTATGTGTTATGATCCACAATATGCAGCCTAGCAGTTTCCAGAATGCGGCTGTGAGTCAGATTCAGTACTGTCTGTACTCACAGTGTGGCTCTTTATAAGGCCTGGAACTATGGAAAATGAGAGAGCTAAATAATTCCCTAATGCCAATTTCTGATAGTCTATATAGTTTTAACATATAGAGAGATAAAATAAGTTTTAAAAATCCACAAAATAAGTTTGCATGCTTCAAGTGGTTAAACCTTCAGTCTTGCAACATACTATTAGCATTAGCAATTAATTTGAGCAGATCAATTCAGCAGATCTGAGCAGACTGACTTAGCAAATTAAAATATTAGTCATGTCATTACATTTTGATTAGAAATAAGGCAATACCAAAAGTTATTAAAGTTAAAATCATCGATGAGAGTAGAAACCAAGTATTTCCTTTCATTGTTCCCAGTGGTGTACTGGCAAATGTGTAACTGTCAGAGGCGTTTGAACCAGAGCAACTCCATCTTGAATAGGAGCTGGGTAAAATGAGGCTGAGACCTACTGGGCTGCATTCCCAGGCGGTTAAGGCATTCTTTGTTTTTTTTTTTTTTTTTTTTTTGAGACAGAGTCTCACTCTTGTCACCCAGGCTGGAGTGCAATGGCATGATCTCGGCTCACCTCCACCTCCCGAGTTCAAGTGATTCTCCTGCCTCAGCCTCCCAAGTAGCTAGGATTACAGGCACACACCACCATGCCTGGCTCATTTTTGTATTATTATTATTTTTTGACATGGAGTCTTACTCTGTCGCCCAGGCTGGAGTGCAGTGGCATGATCTAGGCTCACTGCAACTTCCGCCTCCCAAGTTCAAGTGATTCTCCTGCCTCAGCCTCCCAAGTAGCTGGATTACAGGCACCTGCCACCGTACCTGGCTAATTTTTGTATTTTTAGTAGAGACGGAATTTCACCATGTTGGCCAGGCTGATCTCGATCTCCTGACCTCGTGATCTGCCTGCCTTGGCCTCCCAAAGTGCTGAGATTATAGGCATGAGCCACCGTGCCCAGCCTAATTTTTGTATTTCTAGTAGAGACAGGGTTCCACCATGTTGGCCAGGCTGGTCTGGAACTCCTGACCTTAGGTGATCTACCTGCCACAGCCGCCCAAAGTGCTGAGTTTATGGGCATGAGCCACTGTGCCCGGCCCAGTTAAGGCATTCTAAGTCATGGGATGAGATAGAAGGTCAACACAAGATACAGGTCATAAACACCTTGCTGATAAAACAGACTGCAGTAAAGAAGCCGGCTAAAACCCACCAAAACCAAGATGGCGATGAGAGTGACCTCTGGTCATACTCACTGCTACACTCCCACCAGCACCATGACAGTTTACAAGTACCATGGCAACATCAGGAAGTTACCCTATATGGTTTGAAAGGGGGAGGCATGAATAATCCACGCCTTGTTAGCATATCATCAAGAAATAACCACAAAAATGGGCAACCAACAGCCCTCACGGCTGCTCTGTCAATGGAGTAGCGATTCTTTATTCCTTTACTTTCTTAATAAACTTGCTTTTGCTTTGCACTGTGGACTCACTCTGAATTCTTTCTTGCGCGAGGTCCAAGAACCCTCTCTTGGGGTCTGGATTAGGACCCCTTCCCTGTAACATTTTTCTGGCTACCATAAAGGGACCCAAAGGCTAACTAGGTAAGTGGTGGTGTCTGGTGACATCTTTCTGGTGAACATGGAAGGGACGATGCTGAGGAGATCCCCCAACCCAAAGGAAAGAGACTATGGCACTGATTGGCGGCCTTCAGGTAAGTGGGGTGCATATAGCCAGGTAAAGAATGGGATTGAATTAGAGGCCCAACTTAGGGGAGTTAGAGTCTCTCTTAAGAATGAGTGGGTTAGAGGCCCCTCTTCATAAAAGGCACGGATGCTTGACCAACCTTGGGTTAGAAGCCCAATTTAGGAGGGTTAGAGTGCCTTCTAAGATTCAGGGGTTTAGAGGCCCCTCTTGGTAAAGTCCCTCTCATTAAAGTCCCTCTCAGCTAAGAACGGGTTTGGTACTACAGGATGTTAACTGCTATTCTCTTTGGAATAATCTGCCTTGCTCTTTGCTAATAGCTGTGAGTGACAGAATTAGGCATGTACGGGATTGTGGGACATGGGGAGCTTTTTCTTCCCTAAAAGGGGAAACTTGAGAGCTGATGAGACTGCTGGAAAAGATCCCTTTGCTACTGACAAGCAGCTGCCTGAACTTTTCAATGTTGCTGCAATGGGTGGGTCTTTCTCTGGCCTCCCTGAGCGCCTTGCCTTCCCACCCTGCTGCAGGCAATGCTTTTCCGCTGTTTCTCTCTCTGTGCAAACTGGTTGAATGAATGGTAAAAATCACTGTTTATCTCCTCTGTAAAGTTTGATTAATGGAAAAAAGGATTTGTGAGGCTAGTCTTAAGCTGTAGCCAATCTGGTGTGCTTTATGTGTCTTTCTTTATTGTTCTGTCACAATGAGGGGTCCCTAGGGATAGAACATGGGCTTAGGACACCTGTAAGACTGCTGTTCAAGGTGACCCAGCAAACTGGTCAGTTCTAAACTTTGCTACAGGTCCCTGAAAAAACACTGGATGAGGTTTCCCTCTTGTCTTCTATGTCCTTGGGGGCTTGACCTTGTAACCATGTGGCCATGCTTTCTCTTTTCACAATGGTGGCCTGGGTTCAGGATTCAATTCCTGGCTTGGAAAATGAGTCCTCTATCTTTTATCTTTCTATGTATTTATATGTATTCTGTGTATGATGTTTATAAATGAAAGAGCTTTAATTAATTGGTTTAATAATAAGCACTTAAATCAAATATTTTGTCAGAAAAGTAAAAAGTGTAATGCCTTTTATTTAGTTCATGTGACTTAAGTAATCTTTGGGAAATAGAGTTTTAAAGATTATTCATAAAATAAAAATATCTTCAGAACTATAAATATTTGGTCTACATTATGCAGATCAAATATTAAGTTTACTAAATGCTTTAAGGTTATACACTGTTTCTTTGACTTTTGAAAACTGTTCCATTTATTTTGGAGCATTAGATTCTAGGTAAGGCCTGAGACATGTGAAGTTAAACGCTGGAGAGAGTCAGACCTTATCTGCACTTCTGTCTGGGTCCTAGGCCCCACATCTAATACATAAATAAAATTGCTTACTAACCAGGTTTTTCATCAAAAGTAAAAGCTGCTAAGAGTTAACAGGATAACATGTATTTGAGACTAGTGAAGACACAGTTCTATACACAAGGTGTATAAGAAAAGTGAAATGTGTTTTTGGTAAAAGATTATAAAAAGGCATGGAAATGTAATTTTTTTGGCCTAGATTAAAGGATTAATGGATTGTTTTAAGTTAGGATGAAGCTGAAGGCTTAAGCAAGTTATGGAAGGTTTGTGAAAAATTAATTGTAAGAGAGTCTGCATTGACTAAAATTAAAGTGGCATTTTTCAGCTTTTCCATAAACTAAACATTGGAATAAAAGCATAATAGGTTTTTCTTAGAGCAAAAACCTGCTTATGATCTGCTCTTTCACAAAAATTTGTAAAGGGTTATAAAAGGTTTATAAGAATCTTACCTTATGGTCAAACTGAATAAGATTGGATATATTTATCTATAAGGTTTACTAAGAATTGGGTCTGACATCAATAATGCACTAATGCAACAGTGACATTTGGCTTATTTGGTATAAAAGTCACACAGGAAGCACTGTCAAATATAAAATGATTGGTTTTCTTTGGGCTGTATTTGTATAAATGTTATTGGTATGTCTTCTAAAATTATAAAAAACTCTTATAATTCTGATATGACTTAGTGTACATTATCAGTAATAATTATAATTGTGTTGAATTATTGTATGCCACAAAGGTAACCAAATTTCTTTGTTAATCGTGTTTTTGACTGTGGCTGTTCTAACATCTTTTGTCATCCACAAACAATTGTCTTATTTTGATCATCTTCCAAAGGTGGTTTGTAATCAGCTATAGGGCTTTGACAGGTGCTCTTGAATGCAAGTTTCTGCTAACTTTGGAAATTATGACATTAGAATAGAGGAAAAAACTTTCAGAACTCTCATAGAGAGCTGAAATGTTCATGAATATCAAACAGAAGTTAACTGCATGAACTAAACTAATGAAAGTCTAAAGTAATATTTTTTAACTTTTTGCTTAAAATGCTGCTGATCCTTTGTTTTGCTTTTCAGAGTCAAGAAAACTTTTGAGCTATTTACAGCTTTTTAGCAATTAAGTAAACTATACTCCTGTAAACAAAATCTGGAGCATATTTGTTTCTCTCTATCTGATTTCTCCAGAAGTTGGAAACTATTTGTGAATATTCTTAATTTATGGCAATACAGTTATTTGCATAAGTGCAATAAGAATCTGTTTTCTTTGCAACATGACACAATTGGAGAAACTGGTTATTTTACCAGGGCTTTGACTGGAATAGTTTGCATTCGTTTAAGGAGTCAAACTTGACTTGTAGAGCCAATAAAAGCTGTTTGGAAAACTGGCCTCATACCTTGCCTATTATACAGTCCCTGTATAAGGTTTCTGACCTGTGGTAAGTAAAGAATGTCACTTTCTAACAGGTCCAGGAGCCCCAAGTTATCTTGGGATCTCAGAAAAAGGAATTTACCCAACTCAGAGGTATTTGAGGGTAGAAACCCATGGCTGGGCTCAGCTTTAAAAAAGTCTTATCTAAGATTTCTTCTATGGAATAGAGTTCCATCAAAGCCAATTTAAAAAGAGCTTATGTAAAAAATAATTTTCCTTGTTGTACTTTATACAAATAATCAGGCCAAGTATAATAAAGCAAATTTGTCTTGCTGATTTGTCTTTAGTAAAAATGGGAAACTGCAAACAAAAAAGTTATGTTGTAAGAACTATGGTACACTTCTTATTAGATTCTAGTCTCATCAGTTGTTTTTAAGTTTGTTTTTGCAATTTAGGCTAACCGTGCTTATTCCTGCAAACCAACCAGTGATCTCTGACTGCTGCTCAGAAGAAACAAGAGGGATGGGTAATGTAAAAATCTAAATCAGTGTTCTAATTCTGGGCATGTACTGGAATGATCTAGCAACCCCCTACCAGCTTGGTTCCAACAGTTGCCTAGTTCATGGAAAGCCTTCTAATTTAGTTTACTTGGGATAATTTTACTTATTTGGCTTTATTGTTGTAGAATATATTGCTGCTGTACTCTTTGAGTAAGAATGCAGAATAAGCTTACTCAACATTTTCTTAAACTGAGTACTTATTAATCTTCCAGATATCACCTCTTATTGGAACTCAAGAGTCATGAATGGCCCTTGCCATACTGATGCTTTCTGACTGAGCTCCTCTCTACCCTGAACACAAGAGACCCTAGAAGTTAGGCAGGAATATCATTGCGCCTATTCAGCTTGAAGAAGCTACTGGGCTGCATTCCTAGATGGTTCAGGCATTCTAAGTCACAGGATGAGATAGGAGGTCAGCACAAGATACAAGTCATAAAGACCTTGCTGATAAAACAGGTTGCAGTAAAGAAGCTGGCTAAAACCTACCAAAACCAAGATGGCGATGAAAGTGACCTCTGGTCGTCCTCACTGCTACATTCCCACCAGTGCCACGACAGTTTACAAATGCCATGGCAACATCAGGAGTTACCCTATATGGTCTGAAAGGGGGAGGCATGAATAGTCCACCCCTTGTATACCATATCATCAAGAAATAACCATAAAAATGGGCAACAAGCAGCCCTCAGGGCTACTCTGTCTATGGAGTAGCCATTCTTTTATTCCTGTACTTTCTTAATAAACTTACTTTTGTTTTGCACTGTGGACTCACCCTGAATTCTTTCTTGTGTGAGATCCAAGAACCCTCTCTTGGGGTCTGGAAGGGGACCCCTTTCCTGTGACATAACAACTGGCTCTGGGAAGGGGAGCTCTGATGAGCGGTAGCTGCTGATTTTTGTGGTATAAATTTCAAGCCTCCAACTTGAAATCACTAGGAAGAGATGTGTCAATCAGCTCTCATAAGCTGGAAGAAACTTTATGTTGGAACTTACTGTATCTCGATAGAATTTTGGCTAATTCTATATATCTAGAGAAATCTATTTCTCATATAAAAAGGTATGCATATGTATGTATCATAGAAGTGGACTGGCCATGCTCATCCACAAGGTGAGTGAAACAGTCTCCTTCCTGCCCAGGTAAGGCACAGGTATAGTTTCATATGCCAGTGATGCCCTTGTGACTCTGATGGTACATTTCACATCAGAACAAGACTTTATCTCCTTCACTCAGTGGAGTAAAAAGAACAGAATATAAAAGGAAATATAAAAATACAAACCATGAAATAGATAAAAAGGTTTATTTCATTGATGTTACTGGAAGTAATTTTCCTCCTCATTGTATGAAGTTTCTGGTATCTATGATTTATATGAACCTTTTTTCCTTTCACCCTCTCTTGTTCACAATTACTTTTCTCCTGCTCCTCATTTACTCCTGGAAGGCCTGAAAGCTATGCCCAACAAGTACCTATGCAGTTGTATTAATCAGCTTGTTCAGCAGCAAGAATCAGGAAGTCCCTAGAGCAGCTCTACAGCTGGTTGGATGACTGAGTGGTTCAGCAATGGCATCAAGTACCCTCTGCTCCGAGACATTCCCCATGTAGTCTGCAGAGGGTCTGCAGCTCCCCTTCCAATCACAGAATGGTTGCAGGGGCTCCAGGAATCACAGCTAGACATGACAACATCCAGAAGCAAAAAAAGGGACGAAACTTTCCTTTTGTCTCAAGAGGTAGAAAAGCTTCTCAGAAACAATCCCTCTCCTTTCCACCACTGAGTTGAAAGTTCCTTCCAAATTGATGCAATCCACATGGCTGGCAACGCAGATTTGTTTAGCACAACACTATCTTTATCCCCTGGAGGAAAGGGAGAAGTGTGCTGGGTAAGGCCACTGAAAATGTCTGCCACAGATGGTAACCTAGAGTAATTAAAAAGGTAGCCAGGCCATGAGGTGCTCAGAGAGGCTGGCTTGAAGCTGTTGGGGTTCATCTCCTATGGCTGCTGTAACAACTTACACCAAACTTAGTATATTAAAACAACACAAGTGTATCTGATAATTCTGAAGTCACAAGTCTGAGATGGGTCTCGCAGGCTGACATCA
Organism: Homo sapiens; assembly: GCF_000001405.40. Lineage (NCBI taxonomy): Eukaryota > Metazoa > Chordata > Mammalia > Primates > Hominidae > Homo > Homo sapiens. The sequence goes on along the minus strand of NC_000006.12, from coordinate 163,029,256 downwards.
AGGTGGTAGCAGAGCTGCATTGGTTCAGGCTGGTTCTGGTTCTGGAGGTTTAGGGGAGAATGTGTCTCCTTATCTTTTCGGCCTCCAGGAGCTGCCTGCATTCCTTGGGGCATGTCCCCTTGCTCCATCTACAAAGCACACCACTCAACCTCTGCCTCCACCGTTACATCTCCTCTCTCTAACTGAGACCTCCTTGCCTCCTCTTTGTAAGGACTAGAGATTGTGCTCCTGTTGAGCCCACCTGGCTAATCCAGGCTAATCACCCCATCTCAAGACCTGTTAACGTAATCGCATCTGCCATGTCCCTTTTGCTGTGTAGGACGGCATGTTCACAGGCTCCAGGATTAGGATGTGAATGTGTTTGGGGGGCATTTTCCTGCCCTCCCCAGTTGGGGGTTGTAAAATGATACTTCCAACAAATTTATAAGAAAATTGTTATATTACTTCAAAAGCAAGACTTGGAATTAGAGTGACAAAACTAGGCACAAGAAAAATAATTGAGATCATTGAGATTAGCCTGCACACAGTCCTGATAAGATTTAGAGTTTCGTATTAAGTAAAGCACTACCAATGTCTTTATATTATTGATGTCATTTTTGATCATTTAAACTTTATATATGAAAAAACGAATATTTAAATATTTGTTTTTTGAAATATATTTTTCATATTTCAGTGAATCATATTTAATATGTATTTGTATGGAGCCAGTTTTACTCATTAGCAGAACAGAAAGCAGTGGTGCCACCTGAGATCCAGAAGCAAGCCCTTGTGGATGGCTATCTCTGTCCTACAGGGCTGCATGATCTTAAAGGTTGATTGTGTTAGAACCTGAATTTGACACTACCCATCCATGGAGGTGCAAAATGATCAAAATCTAACTTTGGAAGGTGTGAGTTATGCTCTTGAATGCCCAAAGAGTGTCACTAGGTACCTGGAGACCTTCTGTAATTTTGATACAGCAGCTTCTAAGCAGAAAAAAAGACAGGCACAGAGCCTATAACAGATGATCTTATAGGATACATTTCTTTCAGTCATGTAGGATTTAACTTTTTTATACTTATAATTTCCTGGCTTATTGGAATGGGTTAGAGACTAGATAGCTGTTTATAAAACTTACTTCCATTTCACTTGGGGTTCACCCAAATGAACCACCTCTGCCGGCCTCTTTTGGGGTTAGTATGCATGACCATGTGGCTGGCATCTAGAGCACCATGGGAGGGAGGAAGTGACTCACGACTTCTCTCAAGGCTGGCGTGCCCTTTCCCTTCCCTGGCTTGTGCAGTGCTGCACAGAGATCTGGGAAGCCAGTGCTGAAGGTGGTTGGTGGGGGACAGTGTGGGAGAGTCCTGGCCCCTTATTACCACTGGAAAAGAGATGCTCTCCAATCAGAAACACCCATTTTCATGGGCGCATGAATGAGAAATAGGCTCTGCTTATTCTATGCAGATGAAGGAGCTGCACCCTGTTGGGTGCCACTTCCTCCCCATTCTGTTTTATCATCTCTTGACTGGCCATGAAAGCTGCAAAAGAGCCTTTATAGAAGTGCTTCTGTATTGCTCTCTGCCGAACCTGACGTGATGTCTTCTGGGGTTAAAGCCAGGCAGGCCCCTCTGTATCTGTGGGGTTGGGTTATTATATCCTGTAGCTCTGAGTGTAGGGGAGAATTAAGGGGCTGGTGTTCTAAAACACCATAATAAGATTTTTTTCTATTCATGTGAGGCTAAAAGTGTACATTGAGAATCACCTTGGAAATGCTCCCATAACCTAGACAAAGGGACATTAAATGAATTCTAGAAATTCAGTTGACATTTGGAAACAGCAATTTTAAGAGAGAAATGTTTCCAGATTTTAGCCAATACTTTTCAATTTACTTGCATCATTAAATATAGCATAATTTTCAGTGTAATGAACGCAATATTGTACAGAAATTAGATCTGCTCAGTATTAAAAGATGAAAAAATCAAGAGCAGTCAGACGAACCTTGAGGAAAAAAACGTTCTGCAAACCCCAGATAAATGCAGAATGCCTGCAAGCAGGGTTTGTCTGAAAAAATACACGCAACCAGAGTCACACTCTATTTCCAGCCCAGATCAAAAGTAAATTTCTCATCCTATAATTATGTGCATTTTCATTCAAATCCACAGTAGATGTTTAAAAGATGCAGGCACCTTTCAGCCATCCCTGGTGGGCCTATCATTTGTCTTGAGTGCTCCTTTTGCAGCAAGCACAGGAGGATGCTATTTTTATCCTTCCATGTTCATATGGAGCATATCCACGTTGCTCAGAACTGATGAACAATAACCTGGCTGCCCCAGGGCTTCCAATATGAATACAATCCCAAAAGACACCCTGACAAGAAGACTTTTCCTGGGAAGAAGCTTCTGGATCACCCTAATTTGCTACGGCACCTCTTCTGTAACCAGTCCCTCTGTGCCTGGGCACATGGCCCTTTTCTGAAGTTTCCAGCTATGAAACGCCTTATTTAGTCATTCAACAAAATATTTGCTAAGTGCTCCCACGTGCCACAAACTAGATGCTCTTGGCACAGGATGGGCATAATCCCTCCCTCAAGGACCTGACAGTAAAATGGAGAACACAAGTTAATAGATTCTTGCATGAGAGTGAGGTCTTATGGGGGAACCTGGGAGGTGACCTTAGCGGACTCCTTGATGCTTCTCCTACCAACATGTATTTAAGGACACAGCACTATAGTAACAGTGTTTTGTAAACATATTTTCTCACATTTCTTTCCTAATCTAGCATACATCTAGCTATTATGCATTTTCTTGCTTTTTATTATTAGAAATGCCATAGATCAGTGTATAAAATTATTCTACCAAAGCAATTTAATAATTAGAAAGGTCACATATATTCAATAGTCATAGTTAAACTGCACCAAAATAATTTTTGGGAAAACATAAATAAGTGTGAAATATGCAGGGAAGAAGAAAGATTTCCTTGACATTTGTCTGAATCAAAAGACATTGACTAGCTAAATGCATATAATTTTTCCCTCTGATTCTAATTTCTGAATTCTTACACAAGGCTTTCAGTGAGATAAACTTTTATGTTGTTCCCTTTTATCAAATTGATTTCTTATAAAAGGCTGTAGTTTAATGGTTAGTTTAATGAGACTTTAGTTTAATGGTTACTATAGTCTTATAGTATAGGTTGAACTGGGGCAATGTGATGTGCCCAACTTTGTTCCTTTTACTTAGATTTGCTTTGGCTATTCGGGCTCTTTTTTTGGTTCCCTATAAATTTTAGAATAGTTTAACTATAGCTTTAGCTAAATTTTATAGAATAGCTTTATTTTATGTATATTTACAGCTAAAGCTTTAGAACAGCTTTAACCAAAGCCTCATTAATTGCCTAAACTGGACACTCATCTGCATTTGCCAACCTTTGTGCTCTTAACTTGTGCACCTCTGTACATGGTCCTGGGCCTGCCCCCTGGCTTCCAGCTCAGCTCTGAGGCTGCGTGGAAAGAACTGCAGGCCCCAGAATCCTGTTGGGAACCACAGCCCCTCAGCACCTTCTGGTTCTTTTCCATGCAAATCAAAGACAAGGCTTCAAACTTGAAATTCAAAAGGAAAATAAATCCTAACTATGCTGGGTTTAATATTTGCAGCCAATCTCCTTCTGCATTTTCCTCTCACAATTGCACAACAAGGTGGTTTGCTTAAAACAGTGGTTTGTATGAAACATCAAAGAATGGCCCACCTCGTTTGTTAGCTGTATTTCTAGGTATTTCATTTTCTTCACGGTGACTGGAAGTGAGATTGTGCTCTTGATATCACTCTCAGCCTGCGTGTTGCTGGCGTATAGAAATGCTACTGATTTTTGTACATTGGGTTTGCATCCTGAAACTTTACTAAAGTTGTTTATCAATTCTAGGGGCCTTTTAGCAGAGTCTTTATGATTTTTGTAGGTATAGAATCATATCGTTAGCAAAGAGAGATAGTTTGACTTCTTCTTTTCCTATTTGGATGGCTTTTAATTCTTTGTCTTGCCTGATTGCTCTGGCTAGGACTTCCAATACTCTGTTGAATAGGATTTGTAAGAGTGGGCATTCTTGTCTTGTTCACTTCTCAAGGAGAATGGTTTGAGCTTTTGCCCATTCAGTATGATGTGGGCTATGGGTTTGTCATAGATGGCTCTTATTATTTTGAGCAATGTTCCTTCAATGCCTAGTCTGTTGAAGGTTTTTATCATGGAGGGATGTCAGATTTTATTGAAAGCTTTTTCTGCATCTATTGAGATAACCATATCTCAATAAAGGCTTTTTGCTTTTGATTCTATTTATGTGCTGAATCACATTTATTGATTTGTATATGTTGAACCAGCCCTGCATCCCAGAAATAAAGCCTACTTGATCATGGTGTATTAACTTTTTGATGTGCCGCTGGATTCAATGTACTAGCATTTTGTTGAGGAATTTTGTGTCTATGTTCATGAGGGATATTTGTCTGATGTTTTCTTGAGGTGAAAGATCTCTACAAGGAGAACTATAAGACACTGCTGAGGTGGCACAAATAAAAAAAAATCTCATGTTCATGGATTGGAGGAATCAATATTGTAAAAATGGTCATACTGTCCAAATCAATTTACAGTTCAATGATATTCCTATTAAACTTTAATGTCATTCTTCACAGAATCAGAAAAAAAATCTAAAATTCATATGGAACCAAGAAAGAGCCTGAATAGCCAAAGCGCTTCTAAGCAAAAAGAATATAGGTGGAGGCACCATATTGCCCAGCTTTAAACCATACTGTAAGCCTATAGTAACCATAACAGCATGGTACTGGTACAAAAATATACACATAGATCAATGGAACAGAAGAGAGAACTCATAAATAAAGCTGCATACCCTACAACCATCTGATATTCAACAAGGCCAATGAAAACAAGCAATGGGGAAAGGACTATCTATTCAATAAATAATGCTGGGATAACCGGCTAGTCATATGCTAGCTAGAAGATTGAATCTGGACCCCTATCTTTCACCATATACAAAAATTAATTCAAAATAGATTAAAGATTTAAATGTAAGATCTTAAACTATAAAAATCCTGGAAGGCAATCTAGGAAATACTCTTCTTGACACTGGCTGTGGCAAAGCATTTTTGGCTAAGTCCCCAAAAGCAAGTGCAACAAAAACAAAAATAGACAAGTGGTACCTAATTAAACTAAAGAGATTTTGCACAGCAAAAGAAACTACCAATAGATTAAACAAGCAAACTATAGAATGGGAGAGAATATTTGTAAACCATGCATTCAACAAAATGCAGAATCTCTAGGGAACTTAAACAATTGAACAAGCAAAAAAGAAACAGCCCCATTTAAAAATGGGCAAAAAACATGAACAGACACTTCTCAAAAGAAGACATATAAGCAGCCAACAAACTTACAAAAAATTGCTCATCATCACTAGTCATCAGAGAAATGCAAATCAAAACCACAATGAGACACAATCTTACACAGTTGGAATGACAATTATTAAAAAGTCAAAAAACAACAGATCCTGGTGAGGCTGCAGAGAAAAGCGAACACTTATACACTGTTGGTGGGAATGTAAATTAGTCTAGCCACTGTGAAAAGCAGTCTGGAGATTTCTCAAAGAACTTAAAGCAGAGCGATCATTTGACCCAACAATCCCATTCCTGTGTATATACCCAAAAGAAAATAAATTGTTCTACCAAAAAAACCACATACACTTGCATACTCATCACTGCACTATTCACAATGACAAAGACATGGAGTCAACCCCGGTGCCCATCAACAGTGGAGTGGATAAAGAAAATGTGGTACATATTCACTATGAAATACTACACAGCTATAATGAAGAATGAAATCATGTCCTTTGCAGCAACGTAAATAGAGCTGGAGGTCATTATCCTAAGCAAATTAACACAGGAACAGAAAACCAAATACTGCATGTTCTCACTGATAAGTGGGAGCTAAGCACTGAGCACACGTGGACATGAACAAGGAAACAAGAGACACTGAGGACTACTGGAGGGTGGAAGGAGGGGGGTGGGTTAAAAAACTACCCATCGGGTATTATGCTCATGGCCAGGGTGACGGGATTCCTACTCCCAGCCCCAGCATCATGCAATATTCTCAGGTACCAAATCTGCGTATGTACCACCTGTATCTAAATAAAAGTTGAGATTTAAAAGAAGACAATTGCCCAAGAAAAGGAACATGGCTGGGAGAGCTAAATAGGCATGTTAACATTTGCATTTTGTGAAAATAAGGTCTACATGCATTGCAATTCTCCAGTAAGTCAAAGTAAAAATATGAAAAAAAATTAGGAAATGTTGCTGAGCATGGTGGCCCATCAGAACTGGGATACTCACAAAAATTGCTCCTTTCTGCTCTTAATAGGATGGAAATCTCAAAGAAAGAGAAGCAGGAAATTATTTAAGCCAATTCAATGTTAACATATTATAAATAAATCATGATCCAGGACAAATCGAAGGAAATTTCACTATTCCTAAATCTCAGACTTGCCACAGATTTTTAAAATGTTGAATACTGTGAGGAAAATGGCAAATAATCCACATAACTGTGGGTTCAGTGCTACAGTTAATTTCATTACATGTAATAACTGATGACTCACTGGAGCAGGTAATTAAAATTGGCATGTCGCCTGCTTAGATGGATTTCGGTGTTTCCTGGGACACTCCTGTTAGTGAGAAGCAAATGCCTCGAAGCTGCTCCTCGTCAGAACTCCAGTTCCTCACGAACCACATTCCCACCAAGGGGTCCCTAGCTGCTGCTCTCTTCCGGTTGAATCCTTGGACTCTCACCCTGAGGTGACTGCTTTTATCTCGGCAGCCTTCAGCAGTAAGAGAAGCACACATTTCAGACAGTGTGACTGTGAGGTAGCAAAGAGCTCAGCCAGAGACACTGATGTTCTCTTCCTACACGGCAATTATTACATCATGTGTTTAGCTGTTTTTAGAGTACAGCAAGGGCAGGGACTAAGGCTGCCTTATTTCTCATGAAACTCCCAATTCAACAGGTACTGTATATTATTGAGCACATAGTAGGTGCTCAATAAATCCCTGTTGAAAGTAGAAATGAGTCAGTGGGTTTCAGCCCCACCTTCCTTCAGATGGTCTGAGTGCACTTGCCCCACTGTGGCAGCAGCAGGTGTGTGTCTGGCTGGCCAAGTGAATGTGTGTGGCCGAAGACCACTGGCAGCTTCGGAGACTGCCTCCCAGCAGGGGGTCCGTGGTCGGCTGTGCATCACTACTTTTGAAAAGTCAGAATTCTCAAAAGAAGAAATCAAATATTTTGGGATATTAAAATTGATCTTTATAAGAGAATGTTATCATAAAATTATGAAAAGTAAACACATTATTCTGATGCTTAACTCGGAATAACAGGGAGCAGGCTCCCCTGAGGAAACGACAGTGCCTCCCTTGAGGCAGGAAGGGCATCCCAGGCAAAGGCAGGGGACCATGATGGAAACCATGGTGAATGGTGGCCTTGGGGAACTGCAGAATTCGGGACAGCTGAAGCTGGGTCTGAAGGTGGGGCAACAGCGAGAGATGAGGCTGGACTTCAGGGAAGGAGCCAGGTCAGGAGGGAGGCTGTCAGGAGCTTAGAGTTCATCAGAAAGGAAATGGAAAGACGCTAATTGTGAGAATAAGAAATGGGATCTGTTTCAAGAATGAACGATCAGGTTGCGGTGGGAGCCATGAGCTGGGAAGAGACAAGCCTGGAGCGAGACAAACATCTCCTGCCCAGCATTGCTCAGTTAGGAAGGTGGCTTAACCTTACAGGGTCAGTAGGATGGGAAGGCACAGACATTCACGAGACATTTAGGAAACAGAAGGAAATGGTTGAAATAAAGGATTTAAACATGAGAGTGAGGAAGTGTCCACGGCCAAGGACAACTCCTGGCTTCTATCTTGGGTACTGTGTGCACAGTGCTGTCGATCAACCCAGATGGGGGCCAACATGGGAGAGGGCAGCTCTAGGAGGGGCAGGCAGAGTGGGAGCTGCGAGGTTATGATTGCATCATGGACACACTGAGCTTTGCAGTGGCTACTGTGCACACAGAAGTGGAGTGCTGGTGCCCGGGAGGTGTCTGGAGGTGTGACTTTGGAACTTGGGAGAGAATCTGGGCTAAAGTGATGGCTCACCATGGAGAGTGTTTTGGGGAGAAAGAAGAGGTCCAAGGCCCATCCACTGGGCTCCACCTGCCCAGGACGGGCAGGCACAGGGACACAGCCTCTGAAGAGCAAGATAAGGAGGAGATCGTGTCATGAAGCCATGGAGGGAGGTGCAGGCAGAGGGTGCTGAGGCCGTGGGGGCAGCAACCAGGCTTTGGAGACAACAGCAAGAGTTAATTGTAGACATTTTGCTGATTGATGGTGGCAGGGCTGTTAGAGGTACTGGGCAATAAAGAGCAGGCTACAGCTCTTCCTTCCAAATGAGACATTTTTAGAACAGTTATAACACTAAGCTCAGACTGCAAAGTATCAGTGGAGAGCAATGGACCTTTCAGAATGAAACACATAGAAAGGAGGAAAAAAAAGATTTTCTCGGTGATCTGTCATTCCTTAGTAAATAAAAGTGAAAATATGACAAAATTAAGAAAGATTGCTGTGTGTCGTCGCAGGGAAATAGCAGCACCATGATGCGAACGCTGCTGCTGGACTCAGGCAGCCGCTCTGTGGAATACTCACCGCTCAAACCGGTCTGGGTCCCTTTCTATTTGTTTGCAACCAAAAGGACTTTTAACAAAGCATAACAGCTTTTGCTTCTTAAACTACTTGCAAAAATCAGATTGGGAGGGGTCTCTGCGTGTTTGGTTTTATTTTTATTGTTTTTATGAGGGTGGCAAAGAATGGAGGATAGTTCAACAGCAATTCTAAGTTTGCTTGTTTTTTAATAACTGGTTCACAACTCCATATGTCATAGGATTTTTTCCTCTGTTCCCTGTAACTGACAAGGTGACCGGTGTATTCACATTAGAAATACTCTCACATTCATATACAAGTTGTGCTAATTATCAAAACTGTTTTAATTAAGTTCTGTAACAGCTGGCCTGTGCTCTTGGCAGTCAGCCTTAAGATCACACCATTCCTGGATTGGTAGAGACTGAAAGTATTATGTTTTCTTTACATTGTTACCCTGACAGTTTAAATGAAGGGCAACTTGTCTGTGAGTAATTATTTCCTGTAATTAGGATCTTCTAAGGATTCCTGTTTTTGCCAATACGAAGACATCTCGCCAAAGACATGGGAAATGACTGTGGTCTTCACTTTGCTTTAGTTGAAGAGGCTGAGCTTTCATTTATCTTGGAAAAATTAAGACTTGATATTTGTTATCTGCTGCTTTTAGCCTGGGAGTCTGTTTCTATAGGCGAAAGGGGGAGAATTAAGGAAATAAGAAAGCAATATTGCTTTTTAATCTCTCCAAATCCCCTCATTAACACAGACAGGTAAAGCAACTAGGATAGCAAAACCAAAACCTATATACAGAAGAACTACATCGAAATTGTGTGCAAGGTACACTCATGGTCCTTAAAATATAAGGCAATGGGGACAGACCTCTGACCACTAAGACCCATGTGACCACAGCAACGGTGCTAGAGGCAGCAGAGGAGAGTAGCCAGCCATCTCCTGATTCCAGAATGGGAACGTCACCAACAGATGCCATATTTGAAGCTGGGAGAGGTTGTGCACGCTCCAGTTCACGGGTGGTGACGAGGTCTGAAAAGGATCTTAAGCCTAAAATCCCCCATTTCCCTTCTAGTACAAATCTCTCCACTGAGGAAAGCAAAGGGATAAAATCCAAATCGAGCGGAGCTGCCCAGGTCCAGAGGAGTAAAAGAAAGAGAAAATCCAGCTAAAAGGAGGGAAAGACAGAAGAGAAGGCAGATCCTAGAAATATGAGGTCATTTTAAAAACCACTTTGTAGAGGCAATAGAAGAGGAGGCTCTGGAGCTGTGAACCAGAAAAGTTATCTTGACCAATCCTCCCTTCTAAAAGAGTAGGCAGATAGAAAAAGAGTGTTGTCAAATCCCTTACAAAATTATTATTTTAAAAAGGAGAGAATAAGAAATATCATAATGTCTCTACAGACAATAAAAGCCTGCTAGCAAGACATGCCCCTCAATAGAAGAACTTGCAAGATACTGCTTCAAAACAAGATCACATATTTTTTAAATGATAGAAGACATTAAAAACATAGAACTTAATGAAAGAACTTAAAATGCAAAATAAATATCAGGAAATGATGCCTAAATTGGAAGGAACAAAAGACAAAGTAATCATAACAGACAACAGTTTAAGAAACACAGGAGACAAAAAAGAGGATTTTTTAAAAATTGAAAATCAAAAGAGTGATGAAGTGTTTTAGAGAAAATGACAGATGAAGATAGGCAGAAGAGACTCAACATGCATATAGCCCCAAACAAGAAGCTCAAAGCAACGGAACAGAATAGTGCTGACATATTAAACTCAAGACAACTCCCTCCCCAAAAGACTGGACACTACCTACTAAAAGGATAGGCCGTATTACTGGAGAATTTAATCCTGAAAGACCAACACTGGGGCATATTTTAGTAAAGTTACTGACCTTCACTGAAAATAAAAATAAAATCTGGGCGAAATTACCAATTCACTCATAAAGGTTGTCATCAGGCTTTTTGACAATAATACTTTCTACCAGAAGAAATTGGGCAACTTGAGGAAAAAAAATTTGAGCCAAAGATTTTATACTCAGCCATAATAACTTTCCAATATGAAGTCTCAAACAAATTGTTAAGAAACAACTTAACAAATGAGGGAATACTGGTCTCATGAAAACTTCTTGAGGATTCTACTAGAGGAAAAGATTCAGAAAACCAAACTATCTGGTGAGGCATTGCCTTAAGCATTGATGGTGAAGGTTAGGTATATATTTACTTATGAAACTAGGAAGAAGTGACAGTTACAAAGAAGCAAGGAGGGTAAGTATGGCTATAATGCTTTGGTAGTGTAGCTACAGTAGTAAAAATGAGGGGTAGGAGAGTAGGAAAACATGTAAAAAGTAGAATGTTTGCTGATCGCATTATGCCTACTAAATAAAAGTAAAGGAATATTACTCCAAATCAGATGTAGTGGAAGGAGGGAAGGGGGAACATTTAGCATTCCTAAAAGTGTGCAGAAAATGCTAACATTTTTCTAAGAGAAAGGGATAAAAATAAACACACACACATACACACACAGTGACATAAACACACTGGCCCTCTCAAGAATGTATTTGACTGGAGTAAATGGATGCCATGTATAGCAAATCATGGGAAGGTGCCTGAATTTGAGTCTTACTCATACACTAAATACAGTGTCACATAAAAATGGAGAGGCAAATAGAGATTTTAAAAGTGAATGTGAAAAAAGAAAAACCCTCACTAATAAAATATTTATTAGGTTGAATAGAAAAAGATAAAATGTAAAAATGTAAAATGTAAGAATTTTTAAGAGTAGTAACTCTCTAAATTACATATTGTCCTCTGCTTCAGAAGAATATCTCTGCATTTATGTCCATCTCTGTCCGTCTGTCTGTCTGTCTCTCTCTCTCAATCAAGATTACATCAACTTTCTGCAACAACCACCTGGATACAATGTATTTTCATTTTTTTCTATTTCTCTGCATTCACTTTTTATACTCACGTGAAAAGGACCCAGAGTATGCCTTACAAGAGACAAGTGTGGAATTATTAATAGTTTCTCTCTCTCTTTTGGTTAATTTGCTTTTAAGCTCCTGTTAATAACAACTATGAATTGAAGAAGGCTGCAAAAGAGATTCGTAATATTTTTGTGACTTTGTAAAAGGGTACTTCACGATGACCTATGTCATCATCAACCCTTAGAACCTGTAGATTTTGTAAATGATGTTGCTAATAGCTTTGTTAGCATGTAATGTAAGTGTAGTAAAAATCCGATTATATACTCTGAAGTCAATATTTCCTTGCCTTGGAGCTGTATCTCCCCCCACGTTTATATTTATCACTATGTACACATTTTCATGTATGCAATTATGTACAAAATAGCTCAGTCATGACTTGTGATTAGCTTATTCTTTTATACAATGTTTTCCATCTTATTTTACAGTTTATTCAAGTGATGGACTTGACCGAGTCTATCTAAGGAAAAGTTAACTGAAAGTAGCCATTCAAAGAAAGAACACAGCTCTCCTTCATGAGTGTATTTCTAGACAATACAAATTTTAAATATATTTTAGGATCACATATATTTTCTGATTTTAATTTTGTATATTACATTTTACATGAAATAATATGAAATATATTTTGACCTTATCTTACTAATTTTATGAAGCACTGTCCAAATAATAGAAGAGAAAAAGACAGACCTAAATAAGTAAAATTAGTTCACATTACCCAGTATATATAAATATATTACAATTTATAATAATATCAAATTCCAATATATTGGACTCCTAATTTTACATTTGTTGAAATCAAACTGAATAACTACTGTAGAGTTCAATGACAAAAGCTTTGATATTCTAGTTTCCCTGTCAAATATATGAAAGATGAAAATGCTCTCATCCTGTAACTTTCCTGTGCTTGCATATCATAAAAAAACTTACTAGCTCATTTAGATTCATTTCGACCCCATATTCATCTTTGGAACCATTAATTAATGGGAAGCCAGACGAAATATTTTTTCAAGGGTTATACAAAACCATTACCATTACAAAAATACTTGCAGTTCTATAAATAGATCTGTCATCAATTTTCTAAATTAACAGGCTGAACCTAGTGGCAGATTTGAGGAATAAAAAAAAAAAAAATCTTGACTCTGGAATTGTTCCTTTCCTCAGTGATTTCTTAATCTGCTAAAATTAAACACACAGAATTTTTGTATTTTTCCCAGAGTAGATCTTTCCCATCAGATTATATCTTGTCCATCCCTCTTTAAAAAATTATATCTTGCCCATCCCTCTTTAAAAATCTTTTAAAAAGCTAGTCAGGCAGGGAGAACCCAACTCACACTGTCACATTTGAAACAGGCAATACAAGTTAACTGTTCAGAAAGACGACTGTGCCCCTTGAAATGCGATGCTAGCCTGGTGATAGGGCAGCCTGCCGGTGGCTTTGAGAACACCTCGTCTTGTCTCCAGACCTTCCTAGATTATCACCTAATGCCTGCAACAAAATGATGCTCATCATTTGTATCTTATTTACTTAATAAAAGGGGAAGACAGAAATTCAGAGAAAAAGAAAATAAACACAAGGTATTACACAGGTCATACCCTCTCTCTTTGCTTCTAATTCAGCCAAGTAAATGTTCATAAAAACTTATTATGATTTTAATAACAATTAAAATGTAATTTCTAGTCACTCAAATACATTGAAGATAACACTCCTTTTAAAATAGTGCCTACACAACAGACAGAAATAAAAGGCATCCAAATAGGGAAGGAAGTCAAACTTTCGCTCTTTGTGGTTTTCTATACCTTGAAAGCCCTAAAGACACCACCAAAAAGCTCCTGGAACTGATAAACTATTTCAGCAGAGTTTCAGGATACAAAATCAATGTATAAAAATCAGTAGCATTTCTATACACCAATAACATTCAAACAGAGCAAAATGAAGAACACAATCCCATTTACAATAGCCACATACAGAAAATACCTAGGAATACATCTGACAAAGGAGGTGCAAGATCTCTACAAGCAGAACTACAAAATACTGCTAGAAAAATGATAGATGACACAAATGAATGAAAAACATTCTGTGCTCATGGATTAGAAGCAGAATTGGTATCATTAAAATGACCATACTGTCTAAAGCAATCCCCAGATTCAACACTATTCTTATCAAACTACAAATGTCGTTTTTCACAGAATTGGAAACAAAACCATTCTAAAATTCATATAGAACCAGAAATGAGGCCGAATAGCCAAAGCAATCCTAAACAAAAAGAACAAACCCAGAGGCATCCCATTATCTGACCTCAAACTATACTGCAAGGCTATAGTAACAAAAACAGCATGCTACTGGTACAAAGCTGGACACACAGACCAATGGAACACAATAGAGAACCCAGAAATAAAACCACACACCTACAGCTATCTAATCTTTGATGAAGTTGACAAAAATAAGCAACAAATAGACGACTTCCTATTTAATAAATAGTGCTGGAATAGCTTGCTAGTCATATGCAGAAGAATAAAACTGGACCCTTACTTTTCACTATACAAAAAAATTAACTCAAGATGAATTGAGAATTTAAATATAAGACCTCAAGCTATAAGAATCCTAGAAGAAAATGTAGGAAATGTCATTTTGGACATGGGCCTTGGGAAAGAATTTATGACTAAGTCCTCAAAAGCAATTGCAACAAAAACAAAAACTGACAAATGGATCTAATTAAACTAAGGAGCTTCTGCACAGCAAAAGAAACTATCAGCAGAGTAAACAGACAGCCTACAGAATGGAAGAAGATATTTGCAAACTATGAATCTGACAAAGGTCTACTATTTAGAACCTATAACGAACTTAAACAATTAAGCAAAAAACAAGTAAACCCATTAAAATGGGTAAAATACATGAACAGACACTTCTCAAAAGAAGATACACAAGCAGCCAACAAACCTGAAAAAATGCTCATGTCAGTAATTATTAGAGAAATGCAAATCAAAACCACGAGATACCATCTCATACCAGTCAGAATGGCTATTATTAAGAAGTAAAAAAAAAAAAATACATGTTGGCAAGACTGCAGAAAAAAGGGAACACTTATACACTGTTGGTGAGAATGTAAATTAGTTCAGCCACTGTGGAAAACAGTTTGGAGATTTTTCCAAGAATTTAAAACAGAACTACCATTCAACCAAGCAATCCCATTAATGGGCACATATCCAAAAGAAAACAAATCATTTTACCAACAAGACACATACAGTCACATGCTTATTGCAGCACTTTTCACAATAGCAAAGACATGGAATCAACCTAGTTGCCCATCAGTGGTGAATTGGATAAAGAAAATGTGGTACATATACACCATAGACTACTTTGCAGCCATAAAAAAGAATGAAATCATGTCCTTTGCAGCAACATCTATGCAGCTGGAGACCACTATCTTAAGCGAATTCACGCACAAACAGAAAACTAAACACTGCATATTCTCACTTGTTAAAAATATTTGAGAGGGATGTTTTTCAAAATATTGAAAAATTTTAAGGAAGATGTTCCTATGTGACGTATATTACAAAATTTAACTAAGACTATGACTAACAGTGACAAAAATGGTTCAAGTAATTTTATCACATCTTATAATTTTTCATCAGGTATGCTTCTATCATGTTATTTTCAAATTAACCAAAAGCCAAGATTTGGTCAAGTAAAAAAAAAAAAAAACCTCAAAAACTAATTTTAAAGCAATTATATTTGTCAATTCCATAAAGTAAAATTACTTTTACCCTTAATGAATATTTTTCATTTTATCAGCAATTATTTAAAAGTGAATATGTAAAATACATTATCTTGATTTATAATTTTTAAATAGTGTGCAAAGTTAGATGTGATGGATTTTTATACTAATGCAGCACCAGAAACACTTATTTCCACACCCACGAGTTTCTTTCAGAGTCTAACATTCAGATGTGCACAGCTCCTCAAAATCTGAATTCCTTCCACTGCATGACCTCAGTGATCATTTTTAGAAGGACATCCAAAACATAACTGATTTGACTATATCTGAGGGTAACTTCAGAAGGGAAAGACAATCCACATTGTCGAACAGAGCATAATTTACTTCTAAGTTCATCAGGCGTACAGGTAATACTGACTATTGATATTCTTAATCATGTTATTATTGCAATACAAATATTCTTTATATGCCACAGTGAAATTATTATGCAAGTTCTAATGGCAGCAAAACTTTTACACTCCATTGGCGTAGTGCTAACTTATGAGTATGGCTACCAAAATAAATAAATAAATAAATAAATAAATAAACTTTAAGTCAAATTACCATCCAGGTTTTTGTCTAAGGTGGCCGTCCTTATCCAAAAGAAATCTAATGTAAATCACAAACACCAACCACACATATAATTTTAAATTTTCTCAAAGCCAAAGTAAAAAGTAAAAACAAACAGGAAAACATAATATTAATAATATATTTTATTTAACTTAATATATCCAAAATGTTACCATTTCAACATTATCAATATAAATATTATTAATGAGATGTTTTGCATTATTTCATCTGAAGTCTTCAAAATCTTGTATTTTACAATTTGGGTTAACCTCATTTCAAGTGCTTATTAACCATGTATAGATATTGGCTACTGTTTTGGAAGTTCAGCTATAGAGAGTTACACAGACCGTGAAAGCTTTGGATCATTAAATGAACACTTACTGAGTACTCGCTCTACACCTGTAGTGTGTTGTGCGTTCAAAAGGGTGCAAAGGTGAAGCGGAGATGGTGCCTGCACTCAAGTATTTACACTTCTGTCAGGGAAATGAATGGGTAGTCCCATAACTAGAGAATGATAACCATACTGTTTCAGTCCTTTCTCCAGTAAAGTTAGAACATTATAGGGTGTAAATAGGTTCACAGCCTGGCACAGCTCCAGAGGGTGCATGAACATTGAATGTAGCCACTGGAGCTGGGCTCTGCCCAGTCGGTCAGACAGATGACAATGAGAAAGCACCTGCCAGGGCTATGCGTCACAGCAGCCCTGGTGTGCAGCAGATTCAGATCTGTTGTTTAAAATCGTATATACACTTATGGATATATTAGTGGTCAATTTCCATATTGATTTTCCTACTTTCTTACTAGCTTTTCTTTGTGTTCCTTGTTATTTGCTGATCTTGGCTGTTCAGGTCACTTTTCCAAATCTGTTCACTTCAAGATCCATTGGCTCTTACTGAATGGTGAAAAGCAAGACTTTGTCTTCTGGCTTTGCAGATGCTGAGTTTCCCCCTGAATGAATGTGAAATGTCATAATAACAATTGCATTCATATTTCTGTTTTGGCTATTGAAAAAACATATCTAACTTATTTTCTTTTGGACCTTAGGATTAGAATAAAAGGGGTACAATATGTTAATTAGGACAACAAATCTTAGGCATGTAAATATCAAGAAGTGTAAGAACTTGCTCCTTGTCCTCATGAAACACATCTATTTGTGGATGTTAGGGTGGAACTTTTTTCCTACCCCTGGTGTTTCCTTCCGTGTGACAGGAGCTCAGTTAGTGTGACACCTGTTCTTTCAGGAGGCATCCAGAAAAAGGCACTGTGATCACAGGAGATACAGCTTCATGCCTGCCATTGCCCCTGAAGACCTTCCAGTGGGACAAGAAGTGGGGGTAGAAGACAGTGACATGGATGCTCCTGACCCTGTGTGGGCTCAGGCTAATGTGTATGTTTGTGTCTTTGTTTTTAGCAACAAAGTTTAAAAAGTAAAAAGAAATAAAATATTTTAAAAATAAAGAGCTTATAGAATAAGGATGTAAAGAAAAAATATTTTGTACAGCTGTATAATGTGTTTGTGTTTTAAGCTGTTTTTACTAAAGAGTCAAAAGTTAAAAAATTGGAAAGTTTATAAAGTAAAAAACTTACAGTGAGCTAAGGTTAATTTTTTACTGAAGAAAACTATTTTGTATAAATGGAGTGTAGCCTAAGTGCACAGTGTCTATGAGGTCCCTGGTAGTGTACAGTGATACCCTAGGCCCTCACAATCACTTACCACTCACTGACTCACTCAGAGCCACTTCCAGTCCTGTAAGCCTTATGGCAAATGCCCTATATAGGTGTACCATTTTTTATCTTTTATACTACATTTTCACTGCACCTTTTCTATGTTTAGATACACAAATACTTACCATTGTGTTACAATTGTCTACAGTATTCAGGACGATCACTTGCTGTAGGGGTTTATTTCCTGGGGGCAATCGGCTACACCGCAGGGCCTAGGTGTGTAGTGGGGTTGTCCCGTCCAGGTGTGTGTAAGTGCACTACCTGCACAGTGACAAAATCATCTAACAACACATTTCTTAGAGGGTATCCCAGTCATTAAGTGTCGCATGACTGCAGCAGGAGGAAGGTCTCCACTCCTGATAAATCTTCCATGACAGGAAGCCCACCCTCCCAGCCCCTTTTCTTCCTCTTCTCTACCCCTTACTCACTGCTTTCCAGGGGAGGTGAGCTAATTCACCTGATTGATAAATCTGGCACAGCTTCTCCCTTTTCCACCTGAGAGCACCTATGTGCAGAAAAGAGTTTCCTCTGCTCCTCTGGGCCGCACATCTCACTGCAGCAGATCCTCCTAAGGGAGCCCGGACCCGGCTCAGCAACCCTGCAGTGCCTGCCCCACTGAGTAACTCTGGAGGGGCCCGCGCTCAGTCACTGCACAGCCTCTCGGGTTATTGTTTACTTTTGTCTCCTCCAGTTGGAATACAGGCTCCAGGAGAACACACCTTTATATCCGTGTCATTCCCTGGGGTCTCCTTCTGCCCAGCACCGTGCCTGATACATTGAGTGTTTCTCGTTGAGTGACCGAATTTGCAATTTATTCAGAATCCTGGTGGATGCTATTTATGAAGCTCCCAGAGACCCACACTTGGAAGATAAAACATAGCAAGACTCGTCTAACAATGACTGAAAAGGTGTCATTTGGCAGACTCTGGCTACATGATGAAATAAAGGTAGGATAACAGTTGCTAGGACTACAGGAGGAGGAGGGCTAAATGAGGTGGGGCAGGCAGGGCCCGTCTATAAAGGAGCCAGGGGCTGCACTGATGGATGAGTAGGATTGGACATGAAGTGGGAGATAATTGCATTTAGGCCCATTCTCCTACCCACTCCTCACAGGTAGCATCATTTATATGTCAGCACACTAATAAAAGTCATCAGCATGACGTCCTCAATTCTCCCTGGTGCTTCTGAGGGAATGCGATACAAAATTTTTTTAAAAATGGATTTTGGTTTGTAAAATGCTACATAAATCAGAATCTAGCGTTTTGCTTTATTTATCTCTGCAAAACAACAATTAAAGAACAGTTCATATCATCTAGCACAGCAAGACAGATTTGATTATAGTGGATCACTTTACAGTCGTTTGGTTTTCAAATGTACTTTATGGGCCCTGTACTGTAGCATGTTGCTAAGGGAATCGCAGTTTTATTTTTACTAGATGAAATACTATTGGGACCTTAGATCTTCAAAATGATTTTGAATCCAAAACATTAACAAGGCCACAAAGTTTAGCATCAATTCTCATTTCCTTTGAATCTGCACATTTTAATGTTTTCTGCCTACACAGGACCAGATATATACACATAAACACAAACATATAAATGTATGAAGATATGAGTATTTAATCAATGAAAGGAATGCAAATCTCATAAAAAATGAAATTTTATAACAACAATAAAGCTTATATTTAAAGTGTTTATCAGCCTTTTAAGTGTAAGTTTAAAATTCTATTGCCAGCTTCAGAAGTGTAAGATTTACACAGCTTCCAGAGGTGTAAATAACTCCATCCCAGCTGGTTAATCACCGATAGAATATGCCACTACACACCTAATTAGCTTATTGTTCATCACTGTAAGGATGCAGTAGTGGCTAGCTGTGCTAATAATTTTCATAATTTGGATTGCCAAAGAAATCATGTTTAGATTAAAAATCCTGGAAAGGATCTATGCAGGAAAGTAAACCAAATCTTTTTCTAAAGACCATGGGAAGATCTAAGTGATTTCTGAAAACTATTGTCTTTATTGCTATTGAAATCATTAAGTGTAATGAACCATGTTAATGTAACGTTGAATTTGAGATGCTAACAGGATAAATTGAAGTGATGGGAAGTTTTACATTTTCAATTCTGAGCTCTCTTTCCTTTAATATGGCATATTTTTATTTTATGGAATAATATATAGAGTGAAAGCTTTGCACAGGATGAAAAACTTTGAGCTATCTTAGACTTTATTCTAACTCTGCCACTCATTATTTATGGTCACATGAAATCTCAATGGATGACCTGTTTTATTAATGAATTAGCCTCAATAAGGTGTAAAGAATTAAGTCAATGGCTTAGATTTTGCCAGTTATCTGGATTTTGTTGTTGTTGTCACATGGACCCAGTATATTGGTCATACACATTTTAGTCTGTTTCTTAGAATTTACTGAACTAAACAGCATTATATTCAGAGTAATTTTGCCCAGTACCTAAACAAAAATAATCAAAGTCTGTTGGATCTGGAAAGGATCTTAGAAAGCAAATTGTCACCTCCCTTTTGTACCAACAGATAAAGAAACAGAAACCAGCTCAGGTAATGTGCTTAGCTCAAGCCTAAACAACTCATGGCTGAAAGAGCTAAAGCTCATTGAAGTTTCACCTCAGGAGGTCAGGAGTGCTAAGCTTCAATCACAGGAGATGCCAACATTTATCCTCAGGACATGACATGTATGGATGTTCTGTTTAGTAGATTAGAAGCTCCTTTCACGTTACCCAATTCAAACATTTCTCAGGTCCCAGGTCAGAACTTGAGAGCCTTCACGAAGGGAAAGGAATACATAGTCCTCTTACCATGTGAGGTGCTGAGCCGCTATCTCGGATGGCGAGAATAAAGTTCCTGGTGGCCCAGGCTCTCGTAGAAAGCTTTCCGTTGGGCTTGATTAAATCGCTTTGGCCAAATTTTCTTAAAACTTGACACAAACGATCCTTTGTCTAATGATTACTCTGTGGGCCTCTCAAATTGGAGAAAGGAAGGGATCTCCTACTGAGAGGATTTGTTATAGATGACCCTCTTTTCACTCTGTGAGTTTAGAGAATCTGGAAAACACACGCTGGTCACAACAAGATCCCACATGGATTTGGATGTGTGCCTCGTTTACAAATTCAGAGTCAATTAGCTGTGATTTTACTGGGGAAATTCTGTTGTTAGGTTGGCTTTGATTTCGGAAGACATTATGGCTGGAAAATATGTGCTGAGAAAGTGTCTCACAGAAGTCCCTGTGGCGATCTGTCTTTGAGGGCCTGAGCAATACTCCCTTGTGTCTTAGTGTGTGCGTGAGAGAGAGTGAGCATGAGTGTGCATTTGCGTTAGGGGGAACTATGGAAAAACTTGGACTCTAAAAGGATAAAATAACATTGAGGGCAGCTCAAGGAACAGCTTAAAATTTAGCAAAGTCCCTTCATTTTCTCTAATGTGCTTCTAGAGTTTGTAAATCCAGTACAACAACAATAAGAATATTCTATGTAGTGCCCAGGTGGGTCAGATAATTGACATTTAGGAAGTCTTGAGAGAGGGGACTTAAAATGAAACCAAGTACGCAGTGGAAGGCTCAGCTGAGGTCACACTGTGAGGATGCTGCTCTTCTATGACCTGGGACCAAAATGCCCAGTGTCCAGTGAGAAGGCCGCTCTGTTCTAGCTGGGTGGACTGGGAAGAACTCTCAGGAAAATCCAGTTCCATCTAGAGCCCAGAGATCCCACCTCTGACCAAAATGGAGCAAGAGCGACCTGATTAATTGTTATGCCTGAAACAACTAAAAAACAGGTAAAAGAGATAAAATAGTTTCTCAAGGCACTGGACATCTGACAATGGAAGCAGTCACCCCTAAGAAGCAGGACACAAATGGGGGAAGGGTGTCACTGCCCAGCTCACTGCCTGGAGAAAGTCTGCAGTCAGTATAGCAAAAAGGGGATCCCAGCAGAGTCCAGTGGTCTCCCAAGCTGAGGAGACAGAGTAGGGTGTCTCACTTTCAAAAGGGAGCACAAAATAAAGACATTTCATACATACAAAGGAATTTATAACCAGCCAATCTGCACTTCAAGAAATATGAAAGGAAGTTATTTAAGGAGAAGGAAAATGACACCAGATGAAAGTCTGGAGCTACATAAAGGAATGAAGAGCATCAGAAATGTCAACTATATGGGAAAATAGAAAAATTTTTTCTTATTGTTTAAGTCTCCAAAAGATAATTGTTAAAAGTAAAAGTAATAATGTATTGTAGGATCTATAATATATAGAAGTAAAAGCTATAATACAGCACAAAGGTTAAGAGGGAAAATGGAAAAATGTTCCATGTTTTTATACTATATATAAAATGGTATAATCTCTTTTGACATTCTAGTGTGGTAAGTTAAAAATATGTGCTGCAAACTTTAAGACAACCACTAAAATTACACAACAAAAATTTGAAACAAATACATGAAATACAAGGGAATCATAAAAAATACTTAACCCAACAGAAGATTTTAACAAAAGGAAAAACATGGAACCAGGACACATGGGACAAATAAAAATACAAAATAACACATTTATGAAACAACCACATCATAATCATAATAGAAGCAATTAATCAAAAGGCAGACATTGCCAGATTGTATAAAAGAGAAGCCAACATTATAAGCTGCCTCCGAGAAACATACTTTAAATATAAAGGCACAAATAGGTTAAAATTAAAAAATGAAAAAAGATAAAATAATGCTAACATTATTGAAAAGAAAGCTGGAATGGCTAAATTAATGTCAACAAAGTAGTTTTCAGAGTACAGAAATTTACCACGAATAAAAAAGGTCATTTTATATTGATAAGGGGGTCAATTTATCAAGAGGACATAATAATTCTAAAGAGTTATGCACCTAATAACAGAGCTCCAAAATATATGAAGAAAAACTAATAGAATTGCAAAAAGAATTAAAAAATCTATAACTATAGTCAGATATTTCAATGCCATTCTCTCAATAACTGATAGAACAAGTATACAAAAAAATCAGTAAACATATAGAAAAATTGGACATTATCTATCAATTGATCTAAATGATATTGTCAACTTATTGACCTAAATTGACATTTATAGAACACTATAACCCACAGTATCACACATGTATCTTCTTTACACCCAGAACATTTACGAAAATAGAACATATTCGTGTTCATAAGACTCAATAAATGTAAAAGAATTTTGGATACCCCATTTACCCTGATGTGATTATTACACATTGTATGCCCATATCAAAATATCTCATGTAACCCATATATATACATATATATATATATGGGATATATATATATATATGGGTTTATATATATGTATGTTTTATATTATATATAATATATTATATATAATAATATATAATATATATGGGTTTTGTTTCTATATATTATATATTATATATATAAACAAAACCCATATATAGTTATATATATGTTATACATAGTTATATATGTTATATATAACATATATAATGTATATAACATATAAATGTTATACACAGAACATGTATAACTGTTATGAACAATGTTATACACATAACATGTATAACTGTTATACATGTTATATATATACATGTTATATATATAACACGTATAACTACGTTGTATATATATAACACGTATAACTATGTTGTATATATATAACACGTATAACTATGTTGTATATATATAACACGTATAACTATGTTGTATATATATAACATGTATAACTACGTTTTATATATATATAAAATTTCAGAGCTTTCATTGCATAGTTTTCTAATATTTGAACATATATACTAGGTACCCATAAAAATTAAAAATAGAGATAAACAAATACATTTGTAAACAAATAAATTTAATATAATTCAAGTTACACAAGGTAAGCTATCTGACCACATGAAATTAAATGAGCATTAGTAACAGGAAAATCCCTAAATAGATGGAAAATAAACAAAACCCATGTGTCAAAGAACAAATAAGAAGAAAAATTTTTAAGTATTTTAACTGAGTGAAGAGTAAACATATCAAAATTTGTGGGCCACTACTAAAGTAATAATTAGAAGGAAACAGCACTAAAATCCCTATTAGAAAAGAAGAAGAAAGGTCTGAAGTCAATGACCTCAGGTTCAACCTTAAGAAATGAGTAAAAGAATAGCAAATGCAAACCAAAGTAATCAGAACAAAGAAAATAATAAATATCTGAGTGGAAATTAGTAAAATATAAAATAGAAGAATAATAAGGAAAAATCAATGAAACCTAAAACTTTTTCTTTGAGAAGGTAAATACTATTAATAAACCTCTGGCAAAAATGATCACAAAAAAGAGAGAAGACACAAATTACCACTTAGAGGAATGAGAGGGGTGATACCACTACAGATTCCACATTAAAAGTATAATAAGAGAAGTTATTAAGAACTTTATGACAATTAATACAGCTTACATGACATGGACAAATTTCTTGAAACAAACAAGCTATTCAAGCATAGTCAAAAAGAAATAGATGACCTGAATATCCCTATATACTCATTTATTTTTCATATAAAGCTGGCATTCTTCATCTTAATTTAAAATAAGAAGACTGAAATAAAGATAGGCAAGTAGTTTGAGCAAGACCTTGTAGTTAGTAAATGGTAGGATCAGATTTTGCCTCTCCGTTTTCATCTCTATACTGCTGCTCTGAATGAATGAACGAACAAATAAGTATTTTCATTAGAAAATAGTTTAAATCCCATACATAGATTAAATTTGCAGATATGTGTGTGTGTGTGTGTGTATATATATATACACACACACACACACACACACACACTAGAACTTTGTATACATTTGATATGGTTAGGCTTCATGTCCCCACCCAAATCTCATCTTGAATTGTAATGCTCATAGTCCCCATAATCCCCACATGTCAAGGGAGAGATCAGGTGGGGGTAACTGAATCATGGGGGTGGTTTCCCCCATGCTGTTCTCCTGATAGTGAGTGAGTTCTCATGAGAACTGATGGTTTTATAAGGCGCTCTTCCCCCTTCCCTTGGCACTTCTCCTTCCTGCTGCCTTGTGAAGAAGGTGTCTTGCTTCCCCTTCACCTTCCACCATGATTGTAAGATTCCTGAGGCCAACCCCAGCATGTTGAACTATGAGTCAATTAAACATCTTTCTTTTATAAATTACCCAGTCTCAGGCAGTTCTTTACAGCAGTATGAAAACAAACTAATACAATATTATAGCTAATATACTTTATATATAATGATATATATGTTCATATACATATTTGAAATATATATTTATTATAGCTAATATTCTGTATATATAATAATATATATGTTCAAATATTAGAAAACTATGCAATGAAAGCTCTGAAATTTTAAAATCTTTTCATGAGTTTGTTTGGGAAAGTAAAGACTAACTGTGGTTTACATTATTGGAAGAGAATTTTTTTTGTAAATTCTAATTCAAGATCAATGAACTCTGAAAGAGATTGATATGGTCATTATCTTTTTAAGCATGAGTTAATGATCCAGTTGGAATGATTAGCCAACTATTAAGCAAGTCCAAGTGGAAAGAGCATGCATAGTGCGATCAAGTGGATCTAATTTGAATCTCTGTTCTGCTCTTTTTAGCTGGGGAAGATTACTTAATCATTGTAAGCTTTGGTCATGTCATCTATAAGAATGGGGGTGCAATGCTATCTTAAATAATTATCGAGAGGATTAAGGCTAATGTATTTAAATCCCCTAACCTGGTGGCAGGCAGAGAGAAGAAGGGCAATAAATGACAGATATTGTTATCATGATTACTATTGTTGGTGTTGGACTTCATTTCCTTATAAGCCCATCCTACCTCCAGCTGTTGATAAGCCAAAAAATTCCTGGGGAGAAGATGGGAAGAGTTTAAGAATAATTAAAACTGAAAATGAAAAGAGAGAGAATAATTAAAAACAATATTTGGCAAGAAGTGGATATAGAAAAAAGGGAAGTTTGAGTTGGAAATGTTTCCTTTCTCCTTTTATCTCCTGCTGTCTATACTTTCCCAGATTTTTCCATTTTATTTTTTTTCTGACTTGATTCTGGTATTGCAAACAGGCTCAATTTCCTCTTCCCTTCCTCACAGATATTTGTAAAGCAAGGGTTTAACATTCAAATGCTTACAGGAATTATGCAAGTAAAGTGAATTATTGAAGCAAGCTTTATGGTATTCTTTCCCCACACATGGTTCATTTGCATATTAATCAGCAAGAGATGATTATCCCATTTCCAAATGAAAATTTGCTCTCTTTCATTTTTTCTGACAACACGTACTTATCCAGGCAATCTGGGGCCATAGAAGTATTCACCTACTTTAAGAGAAGTAATAATGCAAAGAAGATAATAAACATCGATTGGCACTAGACTGCCATGTTGGAGTTAGCAGCAGCTGGTGAGAATGAAGAAAACTAGGCAAGACATGCCATCTAGAAGGGGTGGGTGTTACTTAACCACAGACATTCATTGACACATAAGAATATGGGTCTAGTGTTGCCAGAAATTGCAGTATGCCAAAGAAGCCAGAAATTTGGACATGAAAATTCTCAATATTTGAGAGTCTCAAAAAATAATTGCACAGGTTTATCAAACACATCTGAGGACAGCATCCAGCCTTTAGGACTCAGGGTTATGGTCCTGCTGCAGAGGAGTCAAGGTTCTCTGAGGTCTGGCAGTCACTAATAGGTAGACCTATCTCAGAAATAGAGTTTGAATGCAAGAAAACACTTTCACACACAGAAAGTAGCCATTTCTAGTCTCTTGATTATCTACAGTAATCTTTTCCTCTAGTCATTTGTCAATAAACAGAACTTCCACCAACTACTTAACCAAACTGTTTTGCAAAACGTGAAGACATTTCTTTCATTAACTAAATGATTAACTGATTCATTCATTTATTCAGTGACTACTTTTTGGGTGTATATCATGATCAAGGCACTGTGGGCAATGCCAAGATAATTAAGGTATAGTTGCTCTTTTCTTAATCATTTCTGCTCTTTTTTTAACCTGAAAAAGATAGTTTTGAAATTACTCTGTTGTTTGGTTCAAATGATTTTTCTTCACCTTCTATTTGTATATATAGCATTAGAAGGCATTTTGAAGGTCAAGTGGAAGGAAGGCTTTAAAGATAAACAGATGAGTCTGACTGACCGTCAATCAAGAAATTGTGCTACGAGAAACCTTATCTAGCAATGAACGAATGCTGTGATGGTCAGCAAATTGGAACTGATTCCTGAACTGCCACAGTTACATGCAACACACAGGCACCAGTATTACTTTGCTGTCAACTAGAGAGGCCTAGAATGTGTTATATAGATCAACCTAAGTAACATTTTAATGAGAAGTTCTTAAGATTCTTACCTCCAAAGAAATGTGTACAATATTCTGTCGTTCTGAAAAATTTGCCTTCACTCAGTTAGAGCAGACTGAGTAAAAAATGTTCTCAATACTTTTAATATTATAGCCAGGGTGATTTCATTTCATTTACAACTTGCTGCAGTGAAGAAAGCAGGTTCCCTAACTCTTTAAACACATTATTTTATGCATAATAGGGTAATTATATTAGATGGGTACACTATCAGTGGACTTCTTGGATGAGTGAATTTTCTGGGGCTAAACAAATGCCAAATGTATATAATAATGTTCTGTCTTGGCACATTAGGCTGGAATTTAATTACCTTGTATAAAAATTATAGCAAAATCTTATCAGCGTAACTTCTATATTTTATTGTGTGAATAAGTGAATGCTGTCTACAGCTTAAGCCCCAAAACCCACAAACAAGATCATATAATGAAATCAAATTCCACCAAGAACCAAATAGAGTGAAGACAATTCCCTAAAGTAACAATTATACCGTATAAATGAGAAAGGATATCATGTTCTTAGAAAAGCTGCTATTTCCAGTGTACAAGATAGAGACTTGAGTCATATCAGAAGTTACCCACAGAGACCTGTGGTTTTCTCTTTCTCTGTTCTCTTTGATTTGGCCTGAAGGCTTTCAAACCTATTCTGCTTTCTGTTTACCGGCTGCCACTCCCACTTCATTATAAAAAACTCTTGGCTCACCCTGGTTCTTATGGGACGTTCTCTGGAGCTAGGACTGGGAGATACATAAATATGAAAGTTGTGTGTACAGTGGAGAGAGCAGGTTTATTGGATCCTAGAGCACTGATCTCCCCGTGGCCAGTAGCACCACTCAAAAGCTCTTTGGAGAATTGTGGTGTCTGCTATTCTCCTCCTGGAGACCCATTTCCTCCTTGTTCAGATTTCATTAACTCTTTGGACAGTGCATCAAATAGGTTATTGAACAGTTCACAACCCACCCATTTCAGAGTCTTCAGCTTACACTGCAGCATACAAAGGACTCAGCTGTGTGGTTGTGCCAAGGTCCTTGGGAGCCATGCACACCTGTAACCCATCCCCAAGGCCTCGCAAGTGCCACCACCTCTGCAGACAGGGCTCTTTCGGCCTTCCCGGGGCAGACTCTTGCCTCTCCTTCAAAATCATGGCCATCAGCTTCTCAGGAGGTTTTTGCCTCAGCAGCTATCTGAGGCTGGGCTAAGAGCTCCCTAAGTGTTTCAGGAGCCCCTACTATTCAGGCCTGCCTTGGCTCATAGGTAATTTCACATTTTCCTAATTCTCTCCTCTCTAAACCATAAACTCCCCAAGGGTAGAGACTGCATCTTTCATTGTTGTGTCTTCCTTTTCTAACACAGAGCCTGCAGCATAGGAGTGTTCAATATCAAGCCTCAGATAGATAAATGCTGTGTACTGTGATATGAAATGACGATCACGTGAATTTCCATTTGTTGAGTTCCTGCTGGGCCATGTGTGTCATCCCCAGTCCTCATGGCACCCTGCGATGTACCCATTTTACACATGAAGCAAGTTAAGATGCATGCCCAAGGCCACACAGGGAGAGAATGCCAGAGCTACAGTTTAAATCCAGATCAGTTTCTCTGCAAAGGCTCCCAACATGATGCTATAAGGATGCCACCACACTCTCTTCTGTTTGGAGCGACAGGGACCCCTTTGGACCACACAGGACCCACTGGTATGGGGAGTGTGATGGGAGTGCAATGGGGGTTCCCTCACTCGAAAGCCCAGGAAGTGATCTCCAACAGTGTTCTCAGAGGGTGACTTCTGGGCAAGTCTGTCCAGCGCGAAAACAGAAAATGCAGCAAGAAGTTTTTGACCCTCCGAGTACCCTGCACCACAACCTGCGGGAGGGCACTATCTCAGGGACTAGGCACTGCCCACTGACAGATGAAGCCTGATTGCATTTAGAGACTGTCCTCCAGGTCTTCAAGAGGGAGGAAAAGTGAATCTGGCCTGGATGGCCTAGACTAAAATGACTCAGTTGACTGCTACCTCGGATGTGTAACCCAGGACAAGGATCTTAATGATCAGACTAATCTACAGAGAACCCTGCTGATGGCTCACTCTTTTGCAATCCATTGAAACGAATCCAACCATAGGATGTTACAAGTACATCCAGTTGGAGGTTTCTGGTACAATTACAAACTGTAAAATTATTACCATTGTAGGCATTTGTGTTTGTAATTATGTTTCATAATTAATGTTCCAAAGTAATATGTTAGGTTCTCACCTCCATTTGCAGTTTTCTAAATGAAGGATTTCACACTAAAGACTGCAAAATACCAGGCGCAGGCCATGAATCACCAGGATTAATGATATTTCACTCGGAAATTTTGAAAGGCTGAGGCTAAAGTAAAACTCACAAGAAAATGAGTCATGTATAGTGGATTAGACCTTGCCTGGGAAGAACAGACTTCATGTAATAAATATAATTTTTATAATTAAAATGTTTTACTATGTAGAATGCTAATCCCCTTTAAGAAAGGAATTCTATGTGTCACTAAAATGTTAAGGAAATACATAGAAGGCCAAGCCAGTCTTGTTTCTGAATTTTTTGTGTGTGTTTAATCCAATTTAAATTGGTTGAGGGTCTGAAGAGTTAGGTGGGCAGCAACTATCCAATCTTGTATTGAGCTTCTACTAAGAGCAGGGCTCTGGCATACATCTGTCTAATGCAGGCTATGATTAAGGTACCTAAAACTCACAGGCCAGTAAACAACTTGCACATAACAGGTGCTGAAAAATGTCTGCTGAATTAGCAAAGGTAAGTTAAATAAATTGTACCATTCTATACACTCAGTGAGGACCAGAGCTAGGATTTGCATTCTGAAACGTAATAGTTCTAATGAGAGGAACGAAGATGCCCTGACTGCTTCCTACCAATAAGAATGGGGCTTCCAGCAATCTCTTGATATCCTCTTATTTATGTTTATTTCTGCCCATAATTATTTGGGTATTTCTAGTCATAATGTTTTTGGACTCATTGCACAAGTAATTTAAAATGTCACTTTTTTTTCATATTCTTTCTGCCAATATGAATGTCTGTCCAGTAGGGAATAGTGCAAGTTCTTTCCTATTCAGGTGTGAGAAACAGCAGACTGGTGCTGTGACTGCTGGCCATGCCCTGCAGAAGGAATACAAAGTACAGTTGGCAGCCAGGTCGATGGAAATTCCCACATCTAGGGCTTTGTCCACTAAGGAAAGAGTGATCACTCAATAAGAGGGGTTGTGATAACTGGCTAAACATTTTTGAAGAAAAGGGTTAGATTCCCTAATTGACTTCACATGTCAGAATCAATTCTAAATGACATTTGGTATCATATAACATATAGGATGGAAATACAAATAATAAAAACATTTTTAATGTAATCTTGGGGTAAGAGGGATCTTTCTAAGCATGCTTCTAGAGCAGAAATAATAAAGTCAAAGTGGTCAGATTTGACTATGAAATTGTACTGCATATAAAAATATACCCACAATATGAGAGAAAACATTTCATATGCTTAACAAAGAATGAATTCTCATAAAGAAAAGAACACCATGCTAGAGGGAAGAATGGACAAAGACTTCTACGTTCATCAACATGACATACTGAGTAGTTTACAAGCAACTTCTCTCTTAAAATTTTTGTTAAAGATGCAGAAACATTGCAGAACAAAATAACAAATACCTGCTCACATTAATCCTTTAAAAAGTAAGGGCCAGAAAGGAAGAGGAAGCAGGAAAGTCATGCCAGGTGATGGAGACCATGGGCCTCCTGAAGGCTTTCTCAGTCCTGGAGATCCTGAGTTGCATACGGCATGAGGACTGGAGACAAGTCCTCAGATCCACATCAAGTACGAAGTTGGAGTTAAGATTCCTGCTTAAAGCTAGGACTCCTAGAGGACAGCACCCTTCAGGAAAAGGTGGGTTAGAAAATCGTTCACCTGGGTGGGAGGTTGCAATAATGTTAGTAACAACATTGACAGCCTGCCCCTATTATGACGCACTACCAGCGGAACAGAGTTCCATGTGCTCCATATATTAACCCATTTCATCTTCACAATTCTTTACGGTAGGTACTATTATTATCCCAATCTAACTCCTGAGAAAACTAAAGCCAGAGAGGCTAAGTAACTTGTTTAAGGACATACTGTTATGACGTGTACAATTCAGGCAGTCTGGCTCTGAGAAAGGAGGGAGTGTATCTCCTGGCAAGGAATTAGCATCCAGACTACAAAAAGAACTCCTCCAAGTCAATAAGAAAAAGATAAACAACTCAAGAGAAATTGGGCATAATATTCAGGCATTTCACTGAAGAGAAGACATATAGTGTCAAGTTAATATAGCAAAAGATGTCCAATGTTACAAACACAGATTAAAAGTCTGACAATGTCAAGTATTGGCTAGCAGGAGGAACATGGGAACTCCCATTCCTGGCTGATTAGAATGGAAACTGAAATCACCACTTTGAAGAATAATCTAGTGAGTTTATCTGAAGGTCTCTCTTCTTTACCACTGCGTTGCTTTCAAGACCTATGTCAAATTGTCACCTCTTTTATGAAGTCTGTTATGAATCCTTGGGCCCACCTTGACATTGAATTTTTCCAATTTCCAGCATTATTCTGCTATTCATTGGAAGACATGATTCGCTGCCGTCTGTCAGTAGTTTTCATCTGTTACTTAAGGGCCAAGGTGATGTGGTTTTGTAATTTTTCATTCCTAGAATCTAAGAAGGAGGTAAATAAGTGTTGCTGGTTTGACTACAAAA
Organism: Homo sapiens; assembly: GCF_000001405.40. NCBI lineage: Eukaryota > Metazoa > Chordata > Mammalia > Primates > Hominidae > Homo > Homo sapiens. The sequence continues at coordinate 162,997,363 of NC_000006.12, read as the reverse complement.
AGGACTAATATAAGCAAATAAACCATACTTTGGCTTTCTTACTTTTTCATTAGCATATGTCAGATGCATTCCGACAATCCAATTATAGTCAGCACAACATATCTTAGGGCAAACAAATCTTTAGGGTTTTTGCCTTATGTAGATTTGCTCTATATTTTCTTGAAATTAAAATTGAGCATGACATATTTTCTGAAGAAAAGTAAGAAAATGGATTACTGTACATTAATGTCAAGTTTTATCTTTATCAAACCAATTTTAAACACTATGTTCATTCATTGAACATCACAAAATGACAAAGGCCTAAGGCTCTAATTGACTTTTGGTAAACAAATGACTGAATCATTAAAATGTTTTAGTTTATCTTATAAAATCTAGTACTAAACAGTTATTAAGAGAGACAACATAATGTCTCCCTGGAGTTTAATGACTACCCATGACTTATGCCACTATAGGATTCTCCAGTCTACATTTTAACCCTGATTACTTAGCATATATTCTTTCTATTTTTCTAAAAAACTCTAGTTTTAAGAGTAATGTGTGCTCTTGGTAGAAAAGAATTTGAAAAACAAGAGAAGAAAGAGTAGAGTGCCCATAATGTTACTAACAAGAGTTGAGACAGTTACTGTTAATACTTTGAAATGTGATTAGTCTAGACTTATTTATATAATATTGTATAAGGCCAAAGTCTTACTGTGTGTATAAATTCCACATGCTATTTTTAAAATTTGGCATGAGTACTTCATTTTGTTAATATATTATTTTAAATTGTTATATAATATTCCATTGAATGGATTCATCATAATTTAATTAGCCATTCCCCTAGTTTGGTGGAATGTTTCATTTTTCTCAGTTTCTGTTTTCTCTAGCTCTAACCTAGAGCATCTTTGTGTATAATGGTTTTGGGGGGGTCTATTTTGGATCAAAGCACAAACGAATTTTCTATATTTGATTTGAAGGATGTGAACATATTACTAAATTACTTTTATCACCTCCATTATGGGACTTGAAAGTGATGATTTTATTGTATTTTTGCCAGTAATGACCCCTTTTTAAATAACAGCTTTAAGATATCATTGACACATAAACATTGTATATATTTAGGGTATACAGCTTAATGTCTTGATATATGTGTACACTGTGAAATGATCACCACAATCAACCTAATAAACATGTCCATTATCTCACATAATTATCTCTGTGCATGTGTGTGGTGTGTGTGTGCATGCACACACACGAGTGGTGAGAAGATTTAATTTATTCTCTTAGCAAATTACAAGTATACAAATATGAAGTATTGTAACTACCATCACCATACTGTATATTAGATCTCCAGAAATTATTCTTCTTGCATAGCTAAAACTTTGTACCCTTTGACCAACATCACATGATCCAGCAATCAATCCCAATTCTGGGTATATATTCAAAGGAATTGAAATCAGGATCACGAAGAGATATCTATCCTCCCATGTTCATTGTGGCATTATTCACAATAGCCAAGATATGGAAACAATTTAAATGTCTTTCAACAAATGGATGGGTAAAGAATATGTAGTATATACACACAACAGGATATTACTCAGGCTTAAAAATAAGGAAGTACTAGGAGCCAAGATGGCCGAATAGGAACAGCTCCGGTCTACAGCTCCCAGCGTGAGCGACGCAGAAGACGGGTGATTTCTGCATTTCCATCGGAGGTACCGGGTTCATCTCACTAGGGAGTGCCAGACAGTGGGCGCAGGCCAGTGGGTGCACGCACCAGGCGCGAGCCGAAGCAGGGCAAGGCATTGCCTCACGTGGGAAGCGCAAGGGGTCAGGGAGTTCGCTTTCTGAGTCAAAGAAAGGGGTGACGGACGCACCTGGAAAATCGGGTCACTCCCACCCGAATACTGCGCTTTTCAGACCGGCTTAAAAAACGGCGCACCACGAGACTATATCCCACACCTGGCTCTGAGGGTCCTACGCCCATGGAATCTCGCTGATTGCTAGCACAGCAGTCTGAGATCAAACTGCAAGGCGGCAGCGAGGCTGGGGGAGGGGCGCCCGCCATTGCCCAGGCTTGCTTAGGTAAACAAAGCAGCCGGGAAGCTCGAACTGGGTGGAGCCCACCACAGCTCAAGGAGGCCTGCCTGCCTCTGTAGGCTCCACCTCTGGGGGCAGGGCACAGACAAACAAAAAGACAGCAGTAACCTCTGCAGACTTAAATGTCCCTGTCTGACAGCTTTGAAGAGAGCAGTGGTTCTCCCAGCACGCAGCTGGAGATCTGAGAACGGGCGGACTGCCTCCTCAAGTGGGTCCCTGACCCCTGACCCCTGAGCAGCCTAACTGGGAGGCACCCCCCAGCAGGGGCACACTGACACCTCACTCGGCAGGGTATTCCAACAGACCTGCAGCTGAGGGTGCTGTCTGTTAGAAGGAAAACTAACAAACAGAAAGGACATCCACACCGAAAACCCATCTGTACATCACCATCATCAAAGACCAAAAGTAGATAAAACCACAAAGATGGGGAAAAAACAGAACAGAAAAACGGGAAACTCTAAAACGCAGAGCGCCTCTCCTCCTCCAAAGGAACGCAGTTCCTTACCAGCAACGGAACAAAGCTGGATGGAGAATGACTTTGACGAGCTGAGAGAAGAAGGCTTCAGACGATCAAATTACTCTGAGCTACGGGAGGACATTCAAACTAAAGGCAAAGAAGTTGAAAACTTTGAAAAAAATTTAGAAGAATGTATAACTAGAATAACCAATACAGAGAAGTGCTTAAAGGAGCTGATGGAGCTAAAACCAAGGCTCGAGAACTACGTGAAGAATGCAGAAGCCTCAAGAGCCGATGCGATCAACTGGAAGAAAGGGTATCAGCAATGGAAGATGAAATGAATGAAATGAAGCGAGAAGGGAAGGTTAGAGAAAAAAGAATAAAAAGAAATGAGCAAAGCCTCCAAGAAATATGGGACTATGTGAAAAGACCAAATCTACGTCTGATTGGTGTACCTGAAAGTGATGCGGAGAATGGAACCAAGTTGGAAAACACTCTACAGGATATTATCCAGGAGAACTTTCCCAATCTAGCAAGGCAGGCCAACGTTCAGATTCAGGAAATACAGAGAACGCCACAAAGATACTCCTCGAGAAGAGCAACTCCAAGACACATAATTGTCAGATTCACCAAAGTTGAAATGAAGGAAAAAATGTTAAGGGCAGCCAGAGAGAAAGGTCGGGTTACCCTCAAAGGGAAGCCCATCAGACTAACAGCGGATCTCTCGGCAGAAACACTACAAGCCAGAAGAGAGTGGGGGCCAATATTCAACATTCTTAAAGAAAAGAATTTTCAACCCAGAATTTCATATCCAGCCAAACTAAGCTTCATAAGTGAAGGAGAAATAAAATACTTTACAGACAAGCAAATGCTGAGAGATTTTGTCACCACCAGGCCTGCCCTAAAAGAGCTCCTGAAGGAAGCGCTAAACATGGAAAGGAACAACCGGTACCAGCTGCTGCAAAATCATGCCAAAATGTAAAGACCATCGAGACTAGGAAGAAACTGCATCAACTAACGAGCAAAATCACCAGCTAACATCATAATGACAGGATCAAATTCACACATAACAATATTAACTTTAAGTGTAAATGGACTAAATGCTCCAATTAAAAGACACAGACTGGCAAGTTGGATAAAGAGTCAAGACCCATCAGTGTGCTGTATTCAGGAAACCCATCTCACGTGCAGAGACACACATAGGCTCAAAATAAAAGGATGGAGGAAGATCTACCAAGCAAATGGAAAACAAAAAAAGGCAGGGGTTGCAATCCTAGTCTCTGATAAAACAGACTTTAAACCAACAAAGATCAAAAGAGACAAAGAAGGCCATTACATAATGGTAAAGGGATCAATTCAACCAGAGGAGCTAACTATCCTAAATATATATGCACCCAATACAGGAGCACCCAGATTCATAAAGCAAGTCCTGAGTGACCTACAAAGAGACTTAGACTCCCACACATTAATAATGGGAGACTTTAACACCCCACTGTCAACATTAGACAGATCAATGAGACAGAAAGTCAACAAGGATACCCAGGAATTGAACTCAGCTCTGTACCAAGTGGACCTAATAGACATCTACAGAACTCTCCACCCCAAATCAACAGAATATACATTCTTTTCAGCACCACACCACACCTATTCTAAAATTGACCACATACTTGGAAGTAAAGCTCTCCTCAGCAAATGTAAAAGAACAGAAATTATAACAAACTATCTCTCAGACCACAGTGCAATCAAACTAGAACTCAGGATTAAGAATCTCACTCAAAGCCGCTCAACTACATGGAAACTGAACAACCTGCTCCTGAATGACTACTGGGTACATAACGAAATGAAGGCAGAAATAAAGATGTTCTTTGAAACCAACGAGAACAGAGACACAACATACCAGAATCTCTGGGACGCACTCAAAGCAGTGTGTAGAGGGAAATTTATAGCACTGAATGCCCACAAGAGAAAGCAGGAAAGATCCAAAATTGACACCCTAACATCACAATTAAAAGAACTAGAAAAGCAAGAGCAAACACATTCAAAAGCTAGCAGAAGGCAAGAAATAACTAAAATCAGAGCAGAACTGAAGGAAATAGAGACACAAAAAACCCTTCAAAAAATCAATGAATCCAGGAGCTGGTTTTTTGAAAGGATCAACAAAATTGATAGACCGCTAGCAAGACTAATAAAGAAAAAAAGAGAGAAGAATCAAATAGACACAATAAAAAATGATAAAGGGGATATCACCACTGATCCCACAGAAATACAAACTACCATCAGAGAATACTACAAACACCTCTATGCAAATAAACTAGAAAATCTAGAAGAAATGGATACATTCCTCGACACATACACTCTCCCAAGATTAAACCAGGAAGAAGTTGAATCTCTGAATAGACCAATAACAGGAGCTGAAATTGGGGCAATAATCAATAGTTTACCAACCAAAAAGAGTCCAGGACCAGATGGATTCACAGCCGAATTCTACCAGAGGTACAAGGAGGAACTGGTACCATTCCTTCTGAAACTATTCCAATCAATAGAAAAAGAGGGAATCCTCCCTAACTCATTTTATGAGGCCAGCATCATTCTGATACCAAAGCCGGGCAGAGACACAACCAAAAAAGAGAATTTTAGACCAATATCCTTGATGAACATTGATGCAAAAATCCTCAATAAAATACTGGCAAACCGAATCCAGCAGCACCTCAAAAAGCTTATCCACCATGATCAAGTGGGCTTCATCCCTGGGATGAAAGGCTGGTTCAATATACGCAAATCAATAAATGTAATCCAGCATATAAACAGAGCCAAAGACAAAAACCACATGATTATCTCAATAGATGCAGAAAAGGCCTTTGACAAAATTCAACAACCCTTCATGCTAAAAACTCTCAATAAATTAGGTATTGATGGGACATATTTCAAAATAATAAGAGCTATCTATGACAAACCCACAGCCAATATCATACTGAATGGGCAAAAACTGGAAGCATTCCCTTTGAAAACTGGCACAAGACAGGGATGCCCTCTCTCACCACGCCTATTCAACATAGTGTTGGAAGTTCTGGCCAGGGCAATCAGGCAGGAGAAGGAAATAAAGGGTATTCAATTAGGAAAAGAGGAAGTCAAATTGTCCCTGTTTGCAGACGACATGATTGTTTATCTAGAAAACCCCATCGTCTCAGCCCAAAATCTCCTTAAGCTGATAAGCAACTTCAGCAAAGTCTCAGGATACAAAATCAATGTACAAAAATCACAAGCATTCTTATACACCAGCAACAGACAAACAGAGAGCCAAATCATGAGTGAACTCCCATTCACAATTGCTTCAAAGAGAATAAAATACCTAGGAATCCAACTTACAAGGGATGTGAAGGACCTCTTCAAGGAGAACTACAAACCACTGCTCAAGGAAATAAAAGAGGATACAAACAAATGGAAGAACATTCCATGCTCATGGGTAGGAAGAATCAATATCGTGAAAATGGCCATACTGCCCAAGGTAATTTACAGATTCAATGCCATCCCCATCAAGCTACCAATGACTTTCTTCACAGAATTGGAAAAAACTACTTTAAAGTTCATATGGAACCAAAAAAGAGCCCGCATCGCCAAGTCAATCCTAAGCCAAAAGAACAAAGCTGGAGGCATCACACTACCTGACTTCAAACTATACTACAAGGCTACAGTAACCAAAACAGCATGGTACTGGTACCAAAACAGAGATATAGATCAATGGAACAGAACAGAGCCCTCAGAAATAACGCCGCATACCTACAACTATCTGATCTTTGACAAACCTGAGAAAAACAAGCAATGGGGAAAGGATTCCCTATTTAATAAATGGTGCTGGGAAAACTGGCTAGCCATATGTAGAAAGCTGAAACTGGATCCCTTCCTTACACCTTATACAAAAATCAATTCAAGATGGATTAAAGATTTAAACGTTAGACCTAAAACCATAAAAACCCTAGAAGAAAACCTAGGCATTACCATTCAGGACATAGGCATGGGCAAGGACTTCATGTCCAAAACACCAAAAGCAATGGCAAGGAAAGCCAAAATTGACAAATGGGATCTAATTAAACTAAAGAGCTTCTGCACAGCAAAAGAAACTACCATCAGAGTGAACAGGCAACCTACAACATGGGAGAAAATTTTCGCAACCTACTCATCTGACAAAGGGCTAATATCCAGAATCTACAATGAACTCAAACAAATTTACAAGAAAAAAACAAACAACCCCATCAAAAAGTGGGCAAAGGACATGAACAGACACTTCTCAAAAGAAGACATTTATGCAGCCAAAAAACACATGAAAAAATGCTCATCATCACTGGCCATCAGAGAAATGCAAATCAAAACCACTCTGAGATATCATCTCACACCAGTTAGAATGGCAATCATTAAAAAGTCAGGAAACAACAGGTGCTGGAGAGGATGTGGAGAAATAGGAACACTTTTACACTGTTGGTGGGATTGTAAACTAGTTCAACCATTGTGGAAGTCAGTGTGGCGATTCTCAGGGATCTAGAACTAGAAATACCATTTGACCCAGCCATCCCATTACTGGGTATATACCCAAATGACTATAAATCATGCTGCTATAAAGACACATGCACACGTATGTTTATTGCAGCATTATTCACAATAGCAAAGACTTGGAACCAACCCAAATGTCCAACAATGATAGGCTGGATTAAGAAAATGTGGCACATATACACCATGGAATACTATGCAGCCATAAAAAATGATGAGTTCATGTCCTTTGTAGGGACATGGATGAAATTGGAAATCATCATTCTCAGTAAACTATCGCAAGAACAAAAAACCAAACACCGCATATTCTCACTCATAGGTGGGAATTGAACAATGAGATCACATGGACACATGAAGGGGAACATCACACTCTGGGGACTGTGGTGGGGTCGGGGGAGCGGGGAGGGATAGCATTGGGAGATATACCTAAGGCTAGATGACGAGTTAGTGGGTGCAGCGCACCAGCATGGCACATGTATACATATGTAACTAACCTGCACAATGTGCACATGTACCCTAAAACTTAAAGTATAATAAAAAAAAAGAAAAGAAAAAAAAAAAAAGGAAGTACTGAACACAGTCAGCCCTCCATATCTGCGGGTTTTCAATCTGTGGATTCAATCCAAGGATTGAAAATATTCATAAAAATGGATTTGTTGTGTCTGTACTGAATATGAACAGACATTTTTTTGGTTATGATTTCCTAAACAACACAATGTAACAAATATTTGCATAGCATTTACATTGTATTAGGTATTATAAGTAATCTCAAGATGGTTTAAAGTATACAGGAGGATGTGTGTAGGTTATATGCAAATACTATGTCATTTCATGTCAGGTACTTGAGCATCCATGGTTTTTGGCATCTGAAAGGGGTCCTGGAACAAACCTTCCACCACTACTGAGGCATGACCGTACTTTTATCTCCATCTGCCATTATGATACATCTGTCAGGTATCCTCAGGATCCTTCCAAATAAACACATTCAATATCAAACTTAGGAAGTTTCCTCTTCTGACCCTGTTTCTCCTCCTGCAGTTGCTGTTGTGACCTAGAGCATCAGTATCTAACCAGCTGTAGAAGTCAGAGCTGTAGTGTCCTTTTTGCCTTAGGTCTTTCTTATGCTTATGTCTATGAGAACAATGTTCCACCTGAAATCTTAATCTGCCCCCTTCTCTACATTCTCACTGCCATTGCTTGGTTCATGTCTTGCCAGAGTAGTAGCACTGGACGTGTCTATTCTTGATTGGGCTATTTAAAAAGTATATTGAATTTTTTCGTCGCATAACTAATACATGCTTAGAGAAATGTATTGAACATTGTAATGTAGAAAGAAAACCAATAGTTTCACCAGTCAGTAGCTCCTGCCTATTTGCCCCCACAAAATTTTGTAAAACTACTGTAATCAAACCATACTCATAGTTTTCAGTTTTGCTTTTTCTTTTACTATAACCTGTTATTGTTCTCATATTATTAAGAACTCTTTGTAAACTTTTAAATTCATAGTGTTTTCTTAATTTTCCATTAAGAGATTGCACCATAGTTTATATAACCATTCCCTTTCTTGTTTGGCATTTTAATGAATATGCTGCACATAAAACTGTTTCAATAGATTCAGTTGTTTCCTTAGCATAAACTCTCAGAAACAGGATTACCTCATTAAAGTCTATGAACATTTTAAAATTTACCAATTTCCAACGATTCTACATAGAATGGCTACATAATAGCTTTCTGTAGAACATAGCTGATCCTATCCAAAACAACTTCCCTTTCCAAAACAGCTATGTGGCTGTTTTCATACCCAATAAATGAAATCTGAACTCCTCAACTTGCTCTTCTAAGGCTTGCCCCATGCATATCCATCTGTCCGGCTTCATTGCTACTGTCTCCTCAACTCAAGCGTCCCAGCTTTCACCTATGCTGAACCTGCATCTATTGCTCTCTCTACCTCGATTGACCCTTCTCCTCTTTATTCAGTTAAATCTCTGCTCCAATCCCACTCTGTGTCCCTAGTGAAATTCACAACATTCTTCCTCAATTTAAAAGTAATTGCTCCTGGACTCAGAGAGGAAGATGGCAGATAGAAGACAGGGCTAACATGCAGCTCCCACTTGGATGGAGAGAAAAGCATGTGGAGACTCATACCATGGACTTTTGCTCCAAGAACCACCTCAAGAATGTACCAGGAAAACCAAAAGAATTCACAGATCCCTTGAAAGAAATGGCATGCCACTGCAAATTCCATGAGACGGGTGCAAAACTGGTGTTCTCTTGAATGTGCCACCACCTGGGTGGAGGCCAACCAACTCAGGACATTACAGCAACTCATGACATAATAACCCTGCTCCAAGGAAGGAGAAAACAACAGCTAATTCCACTGCCTGCAGCATCCTGGATAACCAGAGGTCCTGGGTCTGTCCATGGGACAACTTCACTGCTAGCATAATCAGCATTTGAGAAAGTCAGCACAATAAACATATCTACAAACAAGGACTCTCACAGAGTCTATCTACTTCAATCCCCTGCCACCTCCACCAGAGCAGGTGTTGTGTATTAGTCTGTTCTCATGTTGCTAATAAAGACACACCTAAGACTGGGTAATTTATAAAGAAAAAGAGGTTTAATGGACTCATAGTTCCGCCTGGCTGAGGAAGCTTCATAATCATGGCGGAAGGTGAAGGAGGAGCAAAGGCTTGTCTTACATGGCAGCAGGCAAGAGAGTGTATGTAGGGAAATTGCCCTTTAGAAAACCATCAGATCTCGTGGGACTTATTCACTGTCATGAGAACAGCATGGGAAAAACCCACCCCCGTGATTCAATTACCTCCCTCCCATGACATGTGGAGATTATGGGAGCTACAATTCAAGATGAGATTTGGGTGGGGACATAGCCAAACCATATCATGCTGGTATCCATGGCTGGGAGACCTGAAGCTTGCAGACATTTCCCAGCACCAGCCTGGAGCCTGGTAGCTCCACAGAGTGGCTAGACCCAGAAGAGCAATAACAATCAATGCAATCTGGCTCTCAGAAAGCCTCAACCTTAGGGGAAGTGGGAACACAACACATCAAGGGATCAACTCATGGGACAAAAGAATCTGAAGAGCAGACTTGAGTTCCAGATTTTTCCACTGAAGTAGTCTACCCAAAGAAGAAGAAATCAGAAAAGACATTCTGGTAATATGACAAAACAGGCTCTATAACACCACCAAAAGGCCAGACTAACTCTTCAGCAATTAATGCAAACCAAGAAGAAATATCTGGATTGCCAAATAAAAAATTCAGAAGGTTTATTATTAAGCTACTCAAAGAGATACCAGAGAAAGTTGAAAGCCAACTTTAAAAAATTGAAAAAAAATACAGGATAAGAATGAAAAATTATCCAGGGAAACAGATATCATAAAGAAAAAACAATCACAACTTCTGGAAATAAAAGACACACTTAAAGAAATATGAAATGCACTGGAAATTGTCGACAATAGACTACAACAAGCAGAAAAAACAACTTCAGAGTTAAAAGACAAGGCTTTCGAATTAATCCAATCAGACAAAAACAAAGACAAAAAATAAAGTCCTATCTAATTATCATATTTTTGTTGCATTTGCTTCAAGGTTCTTGGTCATGAAGTCTTTGCTTAACCCAATATCTAGAAGGGTTTCTCCAATATTATCTTCTAGAATTTTTATGGTTTTAGGTCTTAGATTTAAGTCTTTGATCTATCTTGAGTTGATTTTTGTATAAGGTGAGAGATGGGAATCCAGCTTCATTTTTCTACATGTGGCTTGCCAATATTCCCAGCACCATTTGTTGAACAGGGTGTCCTTTCCCCACTTTATGTTTTTGTTTGCTTTGTCTAAGATCAGTAGGCTGTAAGTATTTGGCTTTATTTCTGGGTTCTCTATTCTGTTCCATCAGTCTATGTACCTTTTTTATACCAGTACAATGCTGTTTTGGTGACTATGGCCTTATAGTATAGTTTGAGGTTAAGTAATGTGAGGCCTTCAGATTTGTTCTTTTTGCTTAGTCCTGCTTTGGCTATGTGGGATCTTTTTTGGTTCTATATGAATTTTGGGATTTTTTTCTAGTTCTGTAAAGAATGATGGTGGTATTTTGATGAAAATTGCATTGAATTTGTAAATTACTTTTGGCAGTATGGTCATTTTCACAACATTGATTCTACCCATCCATGAGCATGGGATGTGTTTCCATTTGCTTGTGTCAACTATGATTTCTTTCAGCAGTGTTTTGTAGTTTTCCTTGTAGAGGTTTTTTATATCCTTGGTTAGGTACATTCCTAAGTATTTTATTTTATTTTATTTTTGCAGCTATTGTGAAAGGGGTTGAGTTCTTGATTTGATTCTCAGATTTGTCACTGTTGGTGTATAGCAGAGCTACTGACTTGTGTACATTAATTTTGCATCCTGAAGCTTTGCTGAATTCATTTACCAGTTCTAGGAGCTTTATGGATGAGTCTTTAGGGTTTTCTAGGTATACAATCATATTATCAGGAAACAGCAACAGTTTGACTTCCTCTTTACCATTTTGAATGCCCTTGATTTCTTTTTCTTGTCTGATTGCTCTGGCTAGGAATACCAGCACTATGTTGAATAGCAGTGGTGAAAGTGGACATCCTTGTCTTGTTCCAGTTCTCAGGAGGAAGCTTTCAAATTTTCCCCATTCAGTATAATGTTGGCTGTGGGATTGTCATACATGGCTTTTATTATGTTAAGATATGTCTGTTCTATACTGATTTTGGTGAGGGTTTTAATCATAGAGGGATGCTGGATTTTGTCAAAAAGCTTTTTCTGCATCTATTGAGATGATCATGTGATTTTTGTTTTTAATTCCGTTTATGTGGTTTATCACAGTTACTGACTTATGTACGTTAAACCATCCCTGCATCCCTCATATGGAACCCACTTGATCATGGTGGATTATCTTTTTCATATGCTGTTGGATTCATTTCACTAGTAGTTTGTTGAGGATTTTCGTGTCTATGTTCATCAGGGATATTGGTCTGTAGTTTTCGTTTTTTTAAATGTCCTTCCCTGGTTTTGGTATTAGGGTGGTACTGGCTTCATAGAATGACTGAAAGGAGGATTCCCTCTTCTCTATCTTTTGGAATAGTGTCAATATGATTGGTACCAATTCTTCTTTGTATGTCGGATAGAATTCAGCTGTAAATCCATCTGTTTGTGAACTTTTTTTGGTGACAGTTTTTAAATGACCATTTCAATCTCACTGCTTGTTATTGGCCTGTTCAGAGATTCTATTCCTTCCTTAAGCTTCTGCACAGCAAAACAAGTAATCAGCACAGTTAACAGACAACCCACAGAGTGGGAAGAAATCTTCACAATCTATACATCCAACAAAGGATGAATATCCAGAATCCACAACTCAAACAAATCAGCAAGAAAAAAAAAAAACCAATCGCATCAAAAAGTGGGCTAAGGACATGAATAGACAATTCTCAAAAGAAGATATACAAATGGAAAACCAAGCATATGAAAAATTGCTCAAAATCACTAATATTGTGGAAATGCAAATCAAAACCACAATACAATACCACCTCACTCCTGCAAGAATGGCCATAATAAAAAAATACTAGATGTTGGCATGGATGTGGTGAAAAGGGAACACATTACACTGTTGATGGGAATGTAAACTAGTACAACCACTATGAAAAACAGTGTGGAGATTCCTCAAAGAACTAAAAGTAGATCTGCCATTTGATCCAGAAATCCCACTACTAGGTATCTATCCAAAGGAAAAGAAGTTATACAAAAAAGATACTTGCACATGCATGTTGACAGCAGCACAATTTGCAATTGTAAAAATATGGAACCAGCCCATATGCCCATTAAATCAAGGGGTTGATAAAGAAAATGTGGTATGCATATACCATGAAATACTACTTGGCCATAAACAGGAATGAAATAATGGCATTCACTGCAACCTGGATGGAATTGGAGACTATTATTCTAGGAGAAGTAATTCAGGAATGGAAGACCAAGCATAGTATGTTCTCATTCAAATGTGGGAGGTAAGCTATGAGGATGCAAAGGCATAAGAATGATAATTGGACTTTGGAAACTCAGGGGAAATGGTGGGGGTGGTGAAGAATAAAAGACTACACATTGGACACTGTGTACACTGCTCAGGTGATGGGTGCACCAAAATCTCATAAGTCACCACTAAAGAAATTATTCATGTAACCAAACACCACCCGTTTCCCAAAAACCTATTGAAATAAAAAAAATTTTTAAAGAAAAAAGAATTTTAAAAATGAACAAAACCTCCAATAAATTTGGGATTATGTTAAACAGGTAAACCTAAGAATAATTGGTATTCCTGAGGATGAAGAGAAATTTAAAAGCTTGGAAAACGTATTTGAGGGAACAATTAAGAAAACCTTCCTTGGCCTCACTTCAGTTCTAGACATCCAATTACAAGAAGTTCAAAGAACAGCTGAAAAATTTGTCACAAAAAAGTTGTCACCTAGGTACACAGTCATCAGGTTACCTAAAGTCAAGACAAAGGAAATAATCTTAAGAGCTGTGAAGCGAAAGCATAGGTAACCTCTAAGGGAAAAACTATCAGACTAACAACAGACTTCTTAGCAGAAACCCTACAAGCCAGAAGGGATTGGGGTCCTATCTTTAGCCTCCTCAAACAAAATAATTATCAGCCAAGAATATCGTATCCAGCAAAACTGATTCCTAAATGAAAGAGAGATAAAGTCTTTTTCAGACAAACAAATGCTGAGAGAATTCACCACTACCAATCCAGCATTATAAGAAATGGTAAAAGGAGTTCTAAATCTTGAAACAAAACCTTGAAATACCCCAAAATAGAACCTCCTGAAGCATAAATCTCACAGGGCCTATAAAACACTAACACAATGGAAAAAAAAATAAGGTATTTAGGCAACAATTAGCATGATGAATAAAACAGTACCTCACATCTCAATATTAACAGTGAATGTAAATGGCCTAAATGCTCCACTTAAAAGATACAGAATGGCAGAATGGATAAAAATCCACTAACCAAGTATCTGCTGTCTTCAAGAGACTCACCTAATGCATAAGCACTCACATAAACTCCTAGAGAAAGGAGTGCAAAATGATATTCCATGCAAATGTAAACCAAAAGCAAGCAGGAGGAGCTATTCTTAGGTCAGACAAGACAGACTTTAAGGCAACAACAGTTAAAAAAGAGAAAGAGGGACATCATATAATGATAAAAGGATCCGTTCAACAGGAAAATATCACAATCCAAAATATATATACACCTAACACTGGAACTCCCAAATTTCTAAACAATTATTACTAGACTTAAGAAATGAGATATATGGCAACACCATAATAGTAGGAGACTTCAATACTCCACTGAATGCACTAGACATGTCACCAAGACAGACAGTCAACAAAGAAACAATGGACTTAAACTATATCTTATAACAAATGGACTTAACAGATATTTATAGAACATTCTACCCAACAACTGCAGAATATACATTCTATTCATCAGCACATGGAACATTCTCCAAGATAGACCATATGATAGGCCACAAAACAAGTCTCAATACATTTAAGAAAATCAAAATTTATATCAAGTACTCTCTCAGGCCACAGTGGAATAAAACTGGAAATTAACTCCAAAAGGAACCCTCAAAACCATACAAATACATGGAAATTAAATAATCTGCTCCTGAATGATCTTTGGGTCAACAATGAAATCAAGATTAAAATTTAAAAATTCTTTGAACTGAATGATAATAGTGACACAACTTATGAAAACCACTGAGATACAGCAAAAGTGTTGCCAAGAGGAAAATTCATAGCATGAAATGCCTACGTCGCAAAGTCTAAAAGAGCACAAATAGACAATTTAACATCACACCTCAAGGAACTAGAGAAACAAACACAAAAACCAAACCCAAACCCAGCAGAAGAAAAGAAATGACAAAGATCACAGCAGAACTACATGAAATTGAAACAAAAAGAAAACAATATAAAAGATAAATGAAACAAAAAGCTGGTTCTTTGTAAAGATGAACAAAACTGATAGACAATTCACAAGGTTAACCAAGAAGAAAAGAAGACAGAAGATCCAGATAAGCTCAATTGGAAACAAAATGGGAGATATTGTAACCGATACCAGAGAAATACAAAAGATTGTTTAAAGCTACTGTAGACACCTTTATGCACACAAATTAGAAAATCTGGAGGAGATAGATAAATTCCTGGAAATATACAACCCTCCTAGATTAAATCAAGAAGAAATAGAAACCGTGAACAGACCAATAACAAGTAACAATAGTAACAATATTGAAACACTAACAGAAAAAATTTGTCAACCAAAAAAAAAAAAAAAAAATCCAGGACCAGATGGATTCACAGCTGACATTCAAAAAAGAATTGGTACCAATCTTACTGGACCAAGCTGAGAATCAGCTTAAGAACTCAACCCCTTTCACAACAGCTCCAAAATAAATAAAATAAAATACTTAGGAATATATCTAATCAAGGACATGAAAGACTTCTAAAAGAAAACTACAAAACACTGCTGAAAGAAATCATAGATGACACAAACAAATGGAAACACATCCCATGTTCATGGATGGATAGAATCAATATTGTGAAAATGACCATACTGCCAAAAGCAACTTACAAATTCAATGAAATTCCCATCAAAATACCACCATCTTTCTTTACAGAACTAGAAAAAAAATCCTAAAATTCATATGGAACCAAAAAAGAGCCCACATAGCCAAAGCAAGCAAGACTAAGCAAAAAGCACAAATCTGGAGGCATCACGTTACCTGACTTCAAACTATATTATAAGGCCATAGTCATGAAAACAGCATGTATATGTGTGTGCGTGTGTGTGTATATATACATATATATATCACATTTTCTTTATCCAATCATTGGTTGATGGGAATTTAGGCTGGTTCTATATTTTTGCCATTGTAAATATATATATATATATGTTTTATACATAAAAATATATAAATATATTATAGATATACACCATGGAATACTACTCAGCCATCAAAAGGAATGAAATAACGGCATTTGCAGCAACCTGGATAGAATTGGAGAGTATTATTCCAAGTGAAGTAATTCAGGAATGGAAAACCAAACATCGTATGTTATCACTCATAAGTGGGAGTCAAGCTATGAGGACACAAAGGCATGAGAATGATATAATGGACACTGGGGACTCAGTGGGAGGTTTGGGAGGGGGTGAGGGATAAAGGACTACACATTGGGTACAGTAGACACTGCTCGGGTGATGGGTGCACCCAAATCTCAGAAATCACCTCTAAAGAACTTTTCCATGCAACCAAACACCACCTGTTCCCCAAAAATTATTGAAATAAAAAAAAAGAAAGTAATGGCTCCCATTCCTGCTTCCTGTTACGATGACACTTAACTTGTATTGTAGTAATTACCATAGTTTCCTGTAGTATAGTTTATTACAGATAAATTTAATGAGATTCTTAAAGGCGGGGCCATACATTGCCAATATTTATATCAGGCAAATATGAAATATCTTCCACATAAGTGATGGAAGGTCGAGAACATCAGATCCTAAATGAGCAAATTATCCTTCTGCATTTAGCTTTGTCTCTGTAGGTTGAGTAGATAAAACAGTATTTCCCTGTTGCTACTCCATAGGATGTTTCTTAAATGGAGAATATTAATGTAAAAACATACTTGGAAATTCTAAGCAAAAAAGCCAACAAATGCCAAAAACAAGAGTATTATTGTAATTCTCCAATTCTGCCATATTTATCTGCTTCTGAACCTTACTTAATCCTGGTAGAAAAACATCATGGTAGCACCTAATTAACATTTTTTCTTAATATATGGCAAGAAAGACATGAGATCTCAACTGCCCCTACTGAAAAGCCAGAGGAATAAACATTTTCACATTTATTTTTAAGAGACTAGGTAAAACAATGGTGAACTGACTGAAGAGTATTAGGCATACATTTATGACCTGGGCCTAATGACATGAGATCTGTATGCAGTGTAATTAAAAACTTATGCTAGTAATTATTACACTGAAAATGTGTGTGTGTGCGTGTGTGTGTGTGTGTGTATGTGTGTGTTTCACATAATTGTGATGAGAACTAGTACTGGGAAAACCTTGAACCTTCTAAAGAGTATGAATTAGCTGAACAAAGAAGCTAACATATCGACCATTTATTAAATTCCACCATTAAACTACATATCTTTCTAAAACTCGCAGGCCTTTCTTCTTTCTAAATATAAATTTTTGCAGTTTAGTATTCATTTCTGTTAATTTCTAAGTTTCATTTTTTTTCTGGACTGAATATTATTTACCAACTTTAGGCCCTAAAAGCTCTGAGGGAGAATTTTTAATACCTGTGAATTTATTTTATTTAAGTAAACTTCCGAATTACTATTAAATAGAAAGCACATTAAACTTTCATTAGTCTATCTTTAGTATTCTTTGCTGCATATATTATTTATTCTGACAGGAAAATAAGTCAAAAGGTGATTTTAGCTCAAAGTAAAGCTAAAAAAATCAGATAAATTATAAAATTATACCAACATTTCAAGTGTGTAAGAGATACAATTTTATCAAATAATTTAAACATAATTGTAATTTATTAGCACCACTCAAAAGGGGGCTTCACAACATAGTCTGGACAAGGATTTTTTGGATAAGATCTCCAAGATACACACAACAAAAGCGAAAGTAGACAAATGAGATTACATTGAACTGAAAAGCTTCTTCTGCACAGCCAAGAAGACACTCAACAAAGTGAAGAGACAACCTACAGAATGAGAGAAAATATGTACAAATGATGCATCTGACAAGGAGTTAATATCCAGAATATAAATGAACTCAACGCAGTGCAAGAAAAATAATCCAATAAAGAAATGGGCAAAAGATCCAAATAGACTTCTTCAGAGAAGAAGACATACAAATGGCCATCAGGTAGATGACAAAATCCTCAACATGTCTAATAATCAGGGAAATGCAAGTCAAAACCACAGTGAGATGTCACCTCACCCCAGGAGGAAGGGAGTGGCAAGCTTAACAGAAGAGTAAAGGCATCTTGGACTGGCAAAGTGGGGTTGAATTAGCTTTAAAGCTTTAATTCTGAAATAAACATATTCGTCCTAAGAAAGCAGGTCATTATAAAGACAGGTTATTATCAAAACAATGAGAAGAGGACCTATATAACGAATATATGTTTTGCACTTATTTACAATTGCTTTTAATTAAATAATTAACTAGGAGACTGGAGAACAGGGATTCAGCAAACCTATACAATTCTATGCAATTTATGGATTTGAGAACTCAGCTACCTTTATCCGGGAAAAGTGTTTCATCCAATTCTTCTAAGGATGAGTCACCCTTAAAAATGTTAAAAATCAATGTTCTAGAGGAAATTGCTTAGTTCAACAAAGCATTTCATTATTTGGTGGGTTTAAATTTTTATTATTTTTCTTTTCTTATTAAATAATATAGTCTGTGTTTAATTTGTCATGCTCTATTATAATCACTATTTTCCTTCAACTCTGGAGAATGTCATTTCTAGACTTCTCTTTGTCTGGAGTTTCTACAGTTTTTTTTAGAAGGGCAAGAATAAAATGCTGAATAAAATAAGTCTAACAATACAGAGTTATATGAAGAAAAAGTTAATATCCTGTGCATATCCCCTTCACCCATCCCCAACAACTGGGAGTGTATTTGTTCATACATTTTAATCCTCACACCATATAGAATTATGTCTACAATGTGTGTGTGTGTGTATGTGTGTGTGAGAGAGACAGACAGACAGGCAGACAGAGATAGAGAGACAGAGATAGAGCCAGAGAGAGATGTATTTCTTTTTCTAAAATAAAACTGGTATTCTAAACAAAAGTACATGTTACCCTACACATTGTGTTTTTTCTTGTAAACAGTGCATTATGGGCATCTTTCTAAGTCAGTAAACACAAATTTAATCTGTTCTTTTAAATATCTATAAAACACAATATTTTCTTATAGAAATATACTATAATTTCTTCAGCCATATTCTAAGTAATGAGCATTCATGCTGTTTATAGTTTGGGGGCTATTTATGCTGTTATAAACATTTTTTTTTTTTTTGAGATGGAGTCTCACTCTGTCACCCAGGCTGGAGTACAGTGGTGCAATCTTGGTTCACTGCAACCTCCGGCTCCCGGGTTCAAGTGATTCTCCTGCCTCAGCCTCCCAAGTAGCTGGGATTACAGGCGCCTGCCAACATGCCTGGCTAATTTTTGTATTTTTAGTAGAGATGGGGTTTCCCCATGTTGGCCAGGCTGGTCTTGAACTCCTGACCTTAGATGATCTGCCTCCCTCGGCCTCCCAAAGTGCTGGGATTACAGACGTGAGCCACTGTGCCTGGCCATAAACATCTTTATACATATGTCAGTGCTTTTATTTTTATAAGATTAAAAAATAAGGTAGTTTTGGGGTGTTTAAAAATAAGCAGATACTGAGTTTTAATAAACATAGTAATGTAACTCTTTTAAAAAGTTTTAACACTTCATATTCCCAACTGCAGTATAACTGAGTATCCCCATTGTGCTGTACTCATACCCAGAAATACTATTCTAAATATTTAATAATAAGCTAGGCAGGAACATTCAAGTGCCACAAATTAATCCTCTAATTATTGCTCTTGAAGTTGGAAGGGTTTGGTCAGTCGGAGAAGGGTGGGATGGGGTTCGAGGAGAAAAAAAAGGGGCTCAGGGTGGCGAATATTTATGAAGTGGAACATTAGTATTTTATTGGTGATACTTAGCTTACCAGGTAAATATCAATACAGCCGTTGCTAGGACTTATTGCTGGTTTTTTTTTTTAATTTGAAATTTTAATAAAAGAAAATGGTATCTTGTTTATATGTTTAATTTTCACTTTCTTAACTTTTAGTTCAGAAGAAGGACTTTTACATGACAATTTATATTCATTTATCTATTACCTGTTAAGACTTTTCCATTTGTATTTACGCTATGGATCTTTTTATTGTCATTATAAAGGAGCTATTTGTATGTTAGTGATATTATTTATCAAATGTTTACAAATATTTTCTTTGAGTCTATCCTTCAACTCATATCTATATTTAAAGTATTTTTAGCTGTACAAAATTTTAAATATTTATATAATAAACAATTTATTAACCTGCAATACCATTATATTTGTTCTTACTTAACAAATATTTCTCATTTACTCAAGTCCTGCAAGTTTCTCGCTATATTTTTCTTAGGACTTGTACAGTGTTGTTATTTTTGTGGTATTTTACCCTGTTTTCATTTCCAATTGGTTATCAATACTATAAAGAAAACCACTTTCATTTTGCGTATTTTTTTATATTCATGCACCCTACTTTCATTTTTATTTGATACTTCTAATAATAGTATTTAGAATTTAGAATATCTTGATTTTGTTGTTGTGTGACATAATTATATAACAAAATAATTTTTCTTCTTTTCAATATTTGTCATCCATTGTGTGTGTGATAGTATATTTCTATAAGAAAATATTGTTTTATAGATATTTATTACATTAGTTAGATTCTCTAAAAGAAGTTAAACGATAAAAATGAAACCAGGCATATGTACCTCGTTCCAAATTTCAGTGGCTATGACTTGAATACTTAATCTGGATACCACACTGCTGTTCCATCTCTACATCTATACACCAGAGTTATCTTATTATCTTTCTGTACAGCCTGCTGTTCCTCCTGTGTCTCTTGACAGCACTGCCTCCAACTCATTCATTATAAGAACCTGGAGGGTATCAGCAACTACCTTTCTTCCCCCCTCAACTCCAGTCCTTTATCCAGTCCTGTTAGTTAAAGATTTCTATCTCCCTCCCACCTTTCCATCCATGATAGGGTCACTTCGTTCGGCCCTCATAATGGCTAGACTGTTCCACACCTGCCAGCATCATTCAGCTGCAGTCCACTCTTTGAATGGTTTCCAAAGTTATTTTGTCAAAACTCAAAATCGTTTTCCTTCTCTATTTAAATCTCAAACTTACAATTTAAGTTTTAAAACACGCTACTCAGTGCCTCTGTTATTCTGGAGCCAAACATCCCTTCTCGCCTTGTCTGGTGTCTCTTGCTTCCATTTCTCACTACTCACGGCCTCCGGGTTTCAGGATTTCTCAAACATACACTTTATTCTGTTCATCTTCGTGTTTGTTTGTTTTTGCTAAGCCTTCCCTGCCCTGCCCACCTCCATGAATTTCTGCTCTTGTCTCAAATCCCGTCTCACACCCAGCCCTTTCCAGCACATTCTGTCAATCGCCTCACTGGATGTGCAAATTCCGAGGGGGCAGGTTTGTAACTTTTCATCTTTGTATTTACAGTGCAGTACTCGGTATGGTAGGACTTGAGCAGTATTTGTGGAAGGAAGGGAGGGAGGGAGAGAGGGAGGAAGGGAGGAAGGAAGGCAAGAAGGAAAAAGGGAGAAAAGGGAGAGAAGAAGGGAGGGAGAGAAGAAGGACCTGCTAAAGATTTTATTTGAATTTTTTTCTAAAACCAGAGCTAAATCAATTTAAAGTGTTGAGGTAATTAAAACTAATTTCGAATAGATATAAAAATTAAAGTTGTGAAGCAGAATTGGGTAACTAAGAGAAAAAATGATTATGCCATATGTCAGCAAACTTATCTTCAGTGAAAAGTGTTGTAGAGAGAAAAAAATGGAAAAGCTAAAGTAAAACATGACAAATGAACAGAGTGCTTTATGCTTTGTAAACACTTTATTGCATTAAAGTGTGAAACAAAACACAAAGAGCAGATATCCTGTACAAGGAATTTGTGGTAAAGAGCAGATGATTAATTTTCTTGTCGCATTCTCTAGTACTTATTGCAATACTATCTTGTATTTTAAGACATGTTTTTGATTTAGCAAGTTGTAATACATACTAATCATTTGCCATATATCAGGGCCAGTTTATATTTACAATATTGTCTTTTAATTAGTACTGTCTATGATAATTAAGCTTAGATCATGGTAGCAATTTACATGACGGTGGCTGGGTCCCTTGCACAGCTTGAGTTACCATCTATTGGCTTATGTATTTTCAGCCTCTCAGCCAACATGGACTTCCTGTCTGGATACCTTGGTAGGCATTGTCCAGACAAGAAGGCAGAGAGAACACAACAAAACAAGCTCAGATTATTGCAGGGATTCTCTTGAAATTCCTCCACATTCACATATTTTCCATAAAGTTCTCAGCAAAAGTCAGAAAAGTCAGATGGAGTACCACAGTCAGATCTTGAGTACTGTAGAGAGAGCTCACTGCTGTAAGAGTCAATCATAGCAAGCCGTGGCAAAAGAGCCATTGCTACTGAGCCCTAATTCACAGGACAGTGACTCAGACCACGGATTTGGAGAAGGATTGCCAGGTTCAAGCCCCACTCATCACTAACGAGTTATAAGAAAGGCAAGTGACGAATCTTTCTATGATTCAGTTTTATCATCTGTAACGTGGAGATAATAATATCTCCCGGATAAGATTATTCATGATTAAATATAAAGCTCTTAACAATACACTAAGCATGATATGTGTTAGCAATTATTAATATCATCATCATTATTTAAGGAAACAATGCATGTCAATAGGAAACAGGAAAAAGGCAGAAAATTCTATGTAACAAATCATATTTTTATTTGGGGAACCTATTTAGTAAATATTTTCAGTGGTATATAATGGAGATACAACAGATCCCAGGAAAAGACTGGTTACAGGATGAGTCATTTTGAATGAAGTAGGTGAGACTACAATTCTTAAAGTACTATAAAGAAATATAAGCAAGTAATTTGTGATGACAGTAATGTTAACTTTCAAGTACAATATTTTGTATATTGGCTTTCTTAAAGTGGAATCTCATTGATACATTGCTGTATTTTGCCCAATTTACTTGGGCATTACATCTTGAATTTTCGTGAAAAGCATATTCCTTTTTGGAATTTTAAAAATGAAAATGGCTTGCTATTAATTATATTGTTGCACTACTTTTGTTTATTACAGAGGTGGCATATGGTGGCAGCCGCCCTCCATCTGCAATGAGAAAGGACAGCTGTGTTGAAACTGAAATACTTGAGCGAGCCCCGTCAATGCAGGCAACTTTCTCTTTTGCTTCAAGCTCTGGCAAGTCAGCAGGGCCCTTTTCTTCTATTTTATAATTATTACGTTACTTGCAATAAATTCTTCTCCAGAACTTTCCACTAACATTTCAAATGAAAAAGGGTACCTGAGAAAATTTAGAAAATAATCACAAAGGAGTGTTTAAACACTGTGGGTAAATTTATAGCTTTGGGGCTTGTTTCCTTGTCTTTATTTTTTCTGAAATCTATTCTCTCCTGACAGTAAGAAGCTTGTAGGGTTCATTTAACCCCTTCTGTCTAAATAATAGGACCCCCATAGTTATTTTTATTATTCTGCAAAAGATCTATCTCTGTAATAGCGTGCGCACGCATACACACACACACACATACACACACACTACTCTTAAGGTTTTATGCAAAGCAGGACAATTTATTTCTAGCACTTTTTTAGTTCTTCTTTATTGAAACAATGACTTAGTACAACATAAATATGCTGAATAAGCTCAAAAAAGGTTGAAAATTGTGGAATATCTAATTTGGGGAGAAAAAACTGGTAGAAGGGAATCTCAAAAAAGAAGACTTAGAACTTTAAAGACAAAATGACATTTAAGTAAAAGAATTGCCTTGCTTGCTACAGAGCAAGAGTGGGAGTCACCAACCTGACATTCAGTGCTAAAGGTTAGGGGTGAGTGGGAGTCCCTGAGAGAGGTCCTACCAGCAAGGGCTGCAGTCACAGCTGAAGGTGATCATGCATGAAATGGAGCCAGGCCTCGCATTAGATGGAAAGATCGCATTACACTTGCAACAGACTTTCACATCGTCTGGCTTTCAAGTCAGCAGTGTGAACTGGTTAGGGCAAACCGCCTTTTACTAATTTTACAGACAAGGGACTGAGGCCAGAGAGGGGCAGTGACTCCTCTGCTGCCTCATGACTGGTCAGTGCTGGGGCCAAGTTGAGGACTGATGTTGGACTTATGCTGTGTTTCAACTAAGTCCCACTCAAAATCCATAGCAATCACCAACATCAGCATCACTTTACCGTACTAGGAACAAAGCTTAGTTGTCCATGTTCTACATTTTTTTCTTTACTGATGTTACAGTTTTAAAAGTAAGTTTCTCCATGATAGAGAACTCTTGTAACCTATCTCTTATTCCTGAGATCATAGCTTCTTCAAAAGTATGACATGGTGGATAAAACATTTTTAAAACCTGCTTTATAACAGGGATTCCTAAATGCCATAATGAACATTTAAATCTAAAGAATCATTATAGAAGATATCATTTTTTTAGAATTCTCATCTATCAGAGCACATTGTTTACTCTTATAGGGTGTTAGACATACAAGACCAGTACACTGTGGAAGACGTAGAGCAGACAATTCTTCAGCCCTCCGTATGATCACAGTCTAAAATCCATTGAAAGGCAGCTTGAGATGTCCAGATTCACAGATGTGTTATGGGATCTTCTCGTCTTTCAATATGGGAGACTCATGCTTTCACTTCAATGAGTGCTGTGCATGTGGAACTGGGGGATGAGGGAACTTCTACTGATATATCCAATCTGCAGGTGCCGGGATGCACTGAGATTGTCTGTTCAGGTTATGATTTATAACAGAGATGAAGCTCGGTCAATGTGGTTGCAAGAATAGGTAATTCAACACTGTTCTTAATAGAGAGGGCACTGCTTATTTAGATCATAGTCGACTATGGGGGTTTTGACCACGATAAAAAAAAGCCAACTGAAAGAAGAAAAATTCCAGAAGAATCTGTGAAACAGACGCAATCAGATGACTGAAGTAGGCAATCTTTAGAGACTGCTACATGTGCGAGTCAGATGGCAGAGGAATAACTGGCCTTAAGAAGCTTCAATCCTTGACTGGTCCATAGGAGTCAGAGGATGTCTATTATTTTATAATGAATCACTGCAGGGTGGAAAACATCTCAAACATCACTCAAGCCGATCTCTTTGTCTTATAGATAAGGGAAGCCAGGTCTTGAAGATTTGAGACTCGCCAAAGTCTTAAAACCTGTGACAGGCAGAGGTAGGGCTGCATGCTGGGTTTCAGATCTCTGACCCAGTGTTCTGCCCTCTGCCATCTGACCATCCTCATGCGGAGGTCAGAGTGCTCATGACCACATGCGTCACAGAGTGAGACAGGCCTTAGAGCCTGAGATCCAGGTGTCTCCTGAGAAAACTGCGAGCGCCGTGGTGACAGAGTGGACGAAGAGACACAAGGAAGGAGGAGAACAGGCGGTGCCAAACAGACGCTGAGTCCTCTTTATAGGGGCCTCAAGGATGCAGGAACACTCAGGGAAAGGAAGAGCTGCCTCTGCAACCTAATGAAAGCTGCGGCCCGGCAGGGCTTGATCGCAGAGATCCTTGTGCTTCCCCCATCCCTAGGGGTATTTGTTAGGAAAGAATGGTTAGTTTGTGTTTTTCACAATATTAAAAACCTTATTCCATAAGATTTACTTTAGAGACAGGTTGCTTTCCTTTTGACTCACATTTTCTAGTAAAATATTTACCCCATGGAATTTGGGGAGCGATTCTGGAGGCGGATGCACACGTTCCGTGACTGTGTAATCCTAGAAGAGGCGATGATGAGGGCACTGGGATCTCTGACTCTGCAGTGGTTTTTGTTTTATGTTGTAGATAAATTCTTTGTGTTCAGACACTGACTGGTTTCCTCCCAAGGTGTTTAGGAAGCTCCGTAAGTGCTCACTTACAGATCTTCATAATGCCGCTGTGGTTGTAAGAGGCTGACACATTTGATCAGTGCTGGCTCTATATCTATAAAAACTGACTTCGTGGATTACACAGGTTGACAATATGGTCCATGATCCATATTTTGTAAATGGAAGAACTGGAGCCCAGATAGAGAAAATGACACAAGGCTCCACAAATCAATATCAGGGCCTCTCGGAACAGAGCTTAGCTCCTTTGACTCGTTGTCTGATTCTTTATTTTGCTACCTTCCCTCTCTAAAACGCTTGTCAAGTGCAACTTGCAGATAAAAAGCCTTCACCCAGAATGCTCTGTGACAGTGAAGAGAGGTCAGTCTTTACAATCTGAATTTGTATTATGGAAGCTGTCACTATAACGTGAAATTGCAAAACAGCTGTGGAGACTGGATCTAACCTATCCGTTTTAAGAACCAAGTGAAGATGACCACATCTCGTTTTTAGTATGGGGACGTTAAAAATGGAATGTATTTACACAACCCATGGCCACTGAAACAATTGTTGAGTTGCAGTACAAGCCTGCCCCTTGCTGATTACTTCAGTCAGGATACGTGGCTCAGGTGACAGGGGCAATGCCAGTATTAGATTTTGCTTTATGTTGTAATTTTTACCTGTTTGGGATCTGAATTGTGATGAGAAGTATTTCATTCCTTTGATTTACAGTGTTGAGAGCAAGGATTAATGGTAGGCAACTTTAATTTAGCTCTCTCAACAACTTTCAAGAGATAAAGGGCTGTGAAGATACAACGGGATGTTCTAGGATTGCTTCCAAAGTTGTTTTGAGCAGACAACTAATGAGAAGCATTTTCTTAATCTGATATCTATTTGGCACGATTATTCTTGGGTGAGGAAGGGTGAAAGTGGGTGGGGGAAGAGAGGCTGGGAAACTGTATAAACATTATTGTGCTTGTTCACTACATAGGAAAGCAGCTGGTTTCTTCATCGATAGCCGGGATTCTTGCCAAACGAGAAGAGGGGGACCAGGTGGTCCCCGGCACGTTCAATGCAGTCAGCTTCTGCAAGATGAGCTCTCCAGTAGAACCTAAGTATATTCCCACAGCAGCTCCGAAATCGATGCGCTCCCCAGACACCCTCCTCAGACTGTGCTCATTCTTTCCTTCAGGAAGAGACTCCTTAGCTCCACGTGGCATTTCAAGCCATTTCTGGGGATAGGTGGCATCTGCACAGCCTGGGGGATTTTAGAGCTGGAATTTTGGTGATTATCTGCTCTCATTTCTTTTGCTTCAGGTGAAGAAACCGAGGCCCATTTCACCAACAATGCAACTCACATGAGAAGGCACTATTTGCATGTCATGGCAGCAGACAGAGTGAAAAAGCCACTGTCAAACTTCACGTCCAACTGATTTTATAGAAATGTGCTAGGCATGAACCTCTACTGCACCCGGCCTATCAGCACTTTTCATTCGACCATTCATTCATTTACTCCAAGGTGCTGTGTGTAAGCCAGCTTCCTGTGCTCAGAGAGCTCACATGCAACAAACATGCAGATAAACAGTGGCAATTGGCGGCAAATGCATGAAAGGAGATACTTTCTGCTACATGAATAACACTCATCATAATAAATTACAACTGAGAGGATAAAGCAGGGAGGGAAATGGTCTCAGCCAACTTTACAAAAGGAGTCAAGTAGAACGTCTTGAAGATAGTG
Organism: Homo sapiens; assembly: GCF_000001405.40. Lineage (NCBI taxonomy): Eukaryota > Metazoa > Chordata > Mammalia > Primates > Hominidae > Homo > Homo sapiens. Next base: position 162,969,741 of record NC_000006.12, on the reverse strand, counting down.
ACATTTAAGCTGAGACCTAAGTCACGGGAAAGAGCAAACCACACCATGCCGAGGCCCTCCAGGAGGAAACAGTCAGGGTTTTAAGGAAAGGAAAGAATATCAAAATGGACAGAACTTGGGAGCAAGGGGCAGACAGGGGCCAGGAAGAGAGATTAGGGTTTTAAAATAAGTGCAATGGTAAGTCCTTGCAGTGGAGTGATACAATCTGAGTGACATTTGAAGGTCACTTTTGCTTCTTGTGGCTATGGAATAGTGGGGGGAGATGGGTGGCAAGAGAGACAGTGGAGCGACAAGGGGGTTGGTTGTAGTATTTCAGGCAAGAGATGATGGGGTAGCAATGGACAGAAGAGATGATGGGGTAGCAGTGGACAGGAGAGAGAGAGGGCAGGAATTTGATGTATGTTTGGAGATGATAACATCAAAGGTTCTCACCAATCCCTTGAAACGGGAGGATGAGGTGAAATGGAGGAAATAGAAGTAACTCTCGGTTTTCTGTCTTGAACCTGAGCAGTAATATACAGCAGTCAGCAGTAAGTACCATTATTCTGACATTCCTAAGATGAAAATCTATACCAAGTACTACATAAGTGAATACAATTAGTTACCGGACCTCTATTAGTGTCTAACTTAAAATTAGGGAAAAAGTAAGACATAGGTAAGACTCCAGTCTGTTACTTTTTTTTTTTTTTTTTTTTGTGATAGAGTCTCGCTCTGTTCCCCAGGCTGGAGGGCAGTGGTGCGATCTCGGCTCACTGCAACCTTCGCTTCCTGGGTTCAAGCGATTCTCCTGCCTCAGCCTCCTGAGTAGCTGGGATTACAGGCGCCCGCCACCACGCCCAGCTAATTTTTGTATTTTTAGTACAGACGGGGTTTCGCCATGTTGGCCAGGCTGATCTCGTACTCCTGACCTTGTGATCCACCCACCTCAGCCTCCCAAAGTGCTGGGATTACAGGCGTGACCCACCGCGCCCAGCCTATCAATTTACTGTGAAGATTTTGCTTTATGCATGACTTCAGACTCTCACTTTCTTTTCTTTGAATATTATATACCTATGTTCTATTATTTGATTGCAAGTCGGGTAATAATTTTTTTCCACCTACATGGTTCCTTCATTACTAGGCTTCTGTCACGCTGGAACATCAGTAATTTTGACACGTCCAAGAAAGCAGGAAGTTAACTCAGAAATGTGTATCATTCCTACTGCTTTAAGTTTGGTTTGACAGTAAAACATATGCCTTTCAAAAGGAAATGCTGTTTTGTTCTTGCTTTGAGATTCCTGAAAGGATTGCACGATCTAGCCACAAATGTCTCATTAACTCTCACAATATTTCAGTGAGAAAGACAGATACAGATTTTTTTGTTTGACAATATTCTTGCAGAAGGAGTTATATAACAATCCCATTATAATTTCAAAAAATAAATTTTAGGCTAATGTACACACGCATATCTTGAATTTTGAACAACCAATGCTATTTTCTGAAGGTAAAACCAGATGTTTACTTTCATAATAACCTGGAGTAGTGATAGAGACCCAATTTATTTGGTGTTCTAACACAGTGGAAGAGAGAAACTCTCTGAGGAGTATAGAAACAGACATACAACCCATCAGAGATTCATTCACCTACTTAATTAATTATGGCAGTCTGGAATACAGCTTGGCAGAGGAAAAGATAGGTAGTGTGTAACTCACTATGTAAGTAATCCACAGTTTGATGTTAGCTGAACAAAAATATTCTTTAGGAATATTTGTGAATAGCATCCAATTTTTAAGGTGAGGAAATATAGAATATTTTAAAATATAAACAATGATTTAGCTTTCAAAATTTGCATTTATATTTCATTCTGATTTTAATTTATGAACGTTTTGTTTGATAGACTCATTTTTGAAGAACATATTTGTGCTGTTAAGTAAAATCACATTTTATGATGTAAAATAATATCATTAAAAAAGAGAAAGTTCAATCCTAGCACGTTGGGAGGCCAAGATGGGCGGATCATGAGGTCAGGAGATTGAGACCATCCCGGCTAACATGGTGAAACCCCGTCTCTACAAAAAATACAAAAAAATTAGCCGGGCGTGGTGGCAGGCGCCTGTAGTCCCAGCTACTTGGGAGGCTGAGGCAGGAGAATGGCGTGAAACCGGGAGGCGGAGCTTGCAGTGAGCCGAGATCGCAACACTGCACTCCAGCCTGGGCCACTGAGTGAGACTCCATCTTCAAAAAAAAAAAAAAGAGAAAGTTCAATAATGTTCTACCAAAATCTATTGATCAAAATTCTAAATATAACTAAGATATGAAGACCACACAGTAGATGTGACATAGATTTCATATCTATTACACTAAACCTTATGAAATTAGGTAGACAATCTACAGAACAGTTTAACTTTTAATAACACACTTTCAGATTTCTATAGGAAATAAAAGTGTAAGAATTCAGAAATCTGACGTATCACAGACCAGACACATTTGATACCTGAAAGGTTTTTTTTTTCAGTTTTAGTAATAAAATCACTTCCAGATGTATTCTAGGAAAATATCTGCTTCTTCATTTCAAACCCCAAATAGAAAGCATCTGTTATTAAGGCAAGCATTAATTTCTATAATAATACACATCATGTGCTACTTTTGAGCATTATCAGTTTAAAACACTTAGTATGATAAAACGTGTAATAAGGGGGAAAAGGAAACCATAAATAATGTCAAGGTTAAGTGTAATTATTACAGAGGCTAGGTGTAAGTTGCCCTGAAGCTGTACGGTTTTATATTTATTTATCTAATCACTGTGTAATATCCATATAATTTTGATGTAATTACACAAATTTCTCTTCCTTATGAGCCAGAAAGAGACTATATTCCAATAAAGTACCATTTGTCATTTAGCTTACCAGTTTTCTTACTAATTAAAGCAATTCACAAAACCTTACAAGAGACCATCAAGTAACAAAATATATAAAAATACATGTCGGGGCCGGGTGCGGGGGCTCACGCCTGTAATCCCAGCACTTTGGGAGGGGGAGGTGGGTGGATCACGAGGTCAGGAGATCGAGACCATCCTGGCTAACACGGTGAAACCTCGTCTCTACTAAAAATACAAAAAATTAGCCGGGCATGGTGGAGGGCGCCTGTAGTCCCAGCTGCTCATGAGACTGAGGCAGGAGAATGGCATGAACCCGGGAGGCGGAGCTTGCAGTGAGCCGAGATCACACCACTGCACTCCAGCCTGGGCAACAGAGTGAGACTCCGCCTCAAAAAAAAAAAAAAAAATACATGTCATTCCCTCCATTAACATCTTTGTATCCAGCACTGTAGATTGATGGAGTGACTACTGTGTGTCAGCACTTAGGATACCATGTCAACAAAACAGAAATAACAGACCCCTGGGGATGATGACATCACGCAAATGGTCATGAATAACCTACTTCTAATTGAAAGAGAAGCAAAATCCAATGAACGGAAGGCACCAAGTGCCATGGGGCATACAAGGTGGCGCTGAACCTACTCTGGGTCACATGAGGCTTCTCTGATAAAGATGTCTTAGGAAATAAGATTAGTTACTTGTTTCTAGATCTTTATTTTCTTGCACCATATCCCTAATAAATTCCTTCTCAACAGTGTCCAGGCAAGCATTTATTCGTTCAACAAATACTAAACACCTGCTTAGCCAGGCCCTGTCTTTTCCTGTAGAGAAACAAATCTCCAAACCTACATCAACTCATCCTTCAACTTGCTTCACTCCTGAAACCATCCACATTGGTGTATCGGAGCTGCACGATATTCCTCTCAGTTGACTTGGATGCATTTCGTCTCCCATCCCAAACCTTCTGCACAATCTCAAGCCCTCTAGTCCAGCTTTAGCCTCCTTATTCTCATCAGCTGCTTTTGCTTCCTACTTCAAAATACAATGAGAAGAAGAGGTCAGTGGGTGAAAACTCACTTTGATTTTTTCTACCAAATTTACATCTTTATCTGAATCCAGGCCTGTCATTGGCTGTGAGTTTCCATGAATTCCATCTTCTAAAGCATCACTATAATCCATTCCTTACTCTTCTTCCCCTCACCAATTTCTTAGCCAAGGCCCAGTGGTCTGAATGATTGTGTTCCTTCAAACTTCACATGTTTAAATCTTAACCCCTATGTGATGGTGTTAGGAAGCAGTGCCTTTGGGAGGTCATTAGGTCATGAGGATTAAGCCCTTCATGAATGGGATTAGTCCCCTTACAAAAGAGGCCCAAAACAGATCCCTCACCATTTCTACTATGTGAAGACAGATAGAAGGCACCATCTTGAACCAGAAAGCAGTCTTTGCTAGACACTGAATCTGACAGTGCCTTAACGTTGGACTTCCCAGATCCTGAGCTATGAGAAATAAATTTCTATTGCTTATAAATATCTAGTTTACAGTATTTTTTATAGCAACCAAATGGACTAAGACAACAGGCAGGCCTTACCTCTGACCCGAGACTTTAATGACTTATTTTCTGGTGTCTCTGCCATCAGTCTTCTACTATCTATCCTTCAAGACTCTGGCCAAGAGGTACTTGTAAATGCAATTATGTTCATATTATACTCCTGCTTTAACAATCCTTCTTGGCTCCCCACAGGGATAAAGTATAATCACTGATGCAACCCTTCGTCCATGTGTCTACTCGCACCCTACCCAACTCCAGCTGTGAGTCCTTAAGGCACTTCCATCTTCACAGCCACAGCCCCACTGGGCATGCTTCCAGATAACAGCTCAGCGAGTTCCAATGTCCTACATCACACTCTCTAGAGGAGACAGCAGCAGATACATAACTACAGTACAAAGTGATGTCGTTACATTCAGATGTTCAAAGCTCTTGGAGAATTTCCCAGAGGAAGCCTCCTTGAAAAGATGCCACCCTCCCTAAATACCAGTTCCTGTTGTTTATCTTTCTAAACCCATAATTCTGATCCTGGGGGTCAGTGACTTAGTGAGTCACTTCCTAATCTTAGCTCAGGATTTTCCTTCAAAAACTGCCTTCTCTTTGCTCATTCCTTATGCTGGCGGCCAGGTTACTTTCCTGCATAAGGCATTGATCATGGCTTCCTTCTTCCAAGAGCTCACTTGGAGCCTCCTAACGCATTCATGTCCAGGTTAAAGTTCTCTTCTAGATTGCTGTGTGCAGTTAACTTGTCTGGAGATTCTCAGATGTCCAGAACATCTGTTGATCATTCCAAGCCCTTCCTTCCAGCCTTCATAGGCCATATCCTACTTCTGGAATGCTGCCCCTCAGGACTTCGAATCTTCTCTTTCTTACTAAAGCAGTTCCTAAAATCACATCTTTAGTGAAAATGCCAATAATGAAGATAAAAGAAGGCCTTTATGATTTCATTAACTTACTATTTTTGTAATTGTTACTTTCCATAAAAATAGTTCAAAAAGTCATCAGAGTTTACTCTGTGATGAAAATTTTACTGAGCATTATCTCATTTTACCTTCAGAGAAGCTCACTTGTTTTATAGACAAGAAGAGTAAGTTTTAATGATATTAAGTAATTTGCCCTAAGTTATCTAGTTTGTAAATGGCAGAGCTGAAATGTGAAATCAGGGCTGACTCTACATTCAGGATTTCAGCCACTGTAATCCATTATCTGCTTCTGCTTTCACGGTGTTGTATTCCAGCATTACTAGTACCCTACTCAACTTCTGTTATGGTTATTTGTTTATTCATTTTCAAACCAATTCATTAAATAAGTATTTACTGATTTCCAGCTCCTCCTGGCAAGACATCTCACTAGTCTTTATGGGCTGACAAAGATGTATTAGGCAAGAGTCTTCTGCCCAAGGGAATAACAATCTAGGTTAAAATAGTGCTAGAAAGGTGATTGTTTCTGTAGCTTCAACCCATGATCTAACTGATATATTGCAATTGCAATGAAATAGAATAGCAAAATAAAAATGGTGAAAATATGCAGGCCTGGATAGAGTTCTGTTGATACTGAACAACCTCCTGATACTGGTGAATTGGGAGGTCAGTAACAATTATTTTATACATATAAAATAATTTTATATGTATAAAATTATAAATTTATAAAAGTATATGTAAAATGTATATATAAAATGTGCAATAAATTTATAATTATAAATTTATACTTTTTATGTTTAAATACATTTTATATTTAAATAAATGTATAATTACAAATTTACACATTGTATTACACAATAATGTGTAAATAAATACACATTATTTGTATTTATAGATATTTATATAGACACAAATAGACATACTATATATTAAAATGTTAATTCTGGGTACTTCTGTTTTATTCTATGTCATTATATACACATGATTTTGAACTGAAAATTTCATATAATAAATTTGTGACCCATGAGAGTTTTATCAGCACCTTATAAATACATCACATAACAAGAGATTAGAAATCCCAAACTTTGATATTTGCCTACTTGAAATGTGAACAGCTTTTAATGTCTAATATAATCACATCTTGGAAAAATCTTTTGTTATGTAGAGTTAGTCATTAATAACTACATTCCTTAAACAAAGGAAATCTTTTATACTTTAAATTACTCTACCTGCCTTCACCTGCCCAAACAAGCATCTTTGGTAGTTTTTATAAGCAATTAATTATGGAAAACCTTGCCTTCCTTTTCATAACTAAGTTTTTAGTTATTCTGATTTTTATCCTATACTTTCCTAGACATCTTCATCTTATTATAGCAAAACAAGTATCATTAGAACTAATATAGATCTATAAATGTAGAATGTGGTCCCTCAAAGTGACCCTAGAGGTCTTCTAATCAAAGTCCCCTAATTATGAGATGAAGAACACAAGATCCAAGTCAATTTGCTTTCATAACAACCTGAACAGAGGCACGTTCATCGTCAGGAATACAGTTCAGAGAAGCTGCTATCTACCTTGTTCTTCAGTCACTATCCATTGTCTTCCAACCTCCCAGCACACATTTGTAGCATGTGACCTGTCTTAGCTCAGGCTGCTGGAACAAAATTCCATAGACTAGTGGCTTAAACAACAGGCATTTATTTCTTACAGTTCTGGAGGCTGCAAAGTCCAAGATCAAGATGCTGGCAGATGTGGTTCCTGATGAGGGCTCTCTTCCTGGCTTGATGACAGCTGCCTTCTCCCTGTGTCCTCACCTGGTGGTAAGAGAGCTCAGGTCTCTCTTCTTCTTCCCATAAGAACACAAATCCCATCATGGGGGCCCCACTTTCATGACCTCAGCTAAACCTAATTACCCCAAAACACACCACTTCCAAATGCTATCACATTGGGGTTTGGGGCTTCAAGGTGTGAATCTGGGGGCATTTAATTCAGCCCATAACATGGCCCAATCACATCAACTACACCTTCAGAGGAAACAGTGGAGTCAACAACTTTCTCAGAAAAACAAATGCACTCATTCACTTCAGAAACATGTATTACATGCTAATAACTGTTAGTCACTGGAGTACAAGCATGAGTAAGACATAGTCTCTGCCTCCAGTGGGGCTTAGAGCCTGGTAAAGGGCATTAGGCATAGAGATGGACAAAAATCCCTAACCTGGTACAGAGGCAGAGAGAAGAGTTTCCCAAGGTAAGGTGGAGGCCCATAAGTGTCAGAGGTTAAATGAGGTAGGGCCAGAAAAGGGTTCAGAGAAGAGGGGGCACTTGACCTGAGCCTAGACAGAAGAGCAGGCTGGTTTTCATCACACACACTAGAGAAAAAAGGAAATTCAAGGAGGAACAAAAGTTTAGCAGTGATGCAAATGATGGTTGATTAAGGAACCACAAGAAATATATAATTGGAGCACTAACCGTTTACTAAGGAGAAAGAGTGTGAGCAAAGACAGAGAGGTAGGTAGGGGCCAGCTCACAGACAGCCTCAGGTGCTCCAAGAAGGAAGAATCACTAAAGCATTTTACATATGGGAATACATGCCTCTGCTCACAGCTTAGATGCATCATCCTGGCTTGGGGTATGGATCTGATTAGAAGGACACTAGACTAAAGGCAGGACTCTAGGGAAGCGGGTAGAAATGAAGATGGTGGAGGAGAAGGTGGACACTAGGACTGACTCATCGATTCCAGTCCTAAGTGACTGGGCAGAAGGTGGTGCCACCATTCAAAATGAGGAAATGAGAAGATCAGATGTGGAGTGGAGTGTGGTAGACTCAGAGGTGGTGAAGAAAAAGGAGAGGATGAAGACTTTGGTACTAGATTAGTTGCGTTTGTAATCCAGGTGCCTGGTCAACCACTGGATTACAAAAGTCATGATGCAGGAGGAGATGGATCTGCAGCTCTGATAGAAATACAAGGTTGGAGTTATAGATAGACACATGATAGTAGAAACTCCAGACTGTGTTTAATAACAAGGTCAACTTCACCTGCTGTCATGCTGTGACACCCTTGGAGTGAGGCTGGATACTTTGCAGTTGCAAGTGAGACAATCAGGATTTGGGGGAATCTTATTCTTCCTCTAGACAGCTTCCTTAACAATCTTAACAGTCAGCATTTTCATGGAAACCCCTGAAACTGTGAAAGTAACAGGGATGACACAATATGTCAGTAAGGTTATGAGCAGCTTTCACATGGGCTACTGATGCAAACCTTGCAGTGACTTCCTTCTTGCCTCGTTTGAGTACATCTATGTGCTGTGTCATGAATAGGTTCACAGGGCTATGAGTGACAGCAAAAATTCAAACAGCAAGGTAAGTATGCAATCCTCATCTGGCCAAAAAGTTATTCTACCTCTCATGGCCACAATATTTGATTCTGGCATGGGCACATGACCTAAACCAGGTTAACGCATTACAGTCTTAACTTTGGCTCTTAACTATTGGGAAAGAGAAAATGTTTTCCTGATGGTGCTGTTAAACTAGCTGAGAATGAAGCCAACACCAAAGAAAATACATCTGAATAATGAAAAACAGGCTGAATGTTCTGACATTGTTTGTGTCTCTGGATCTAGCTGGGTCTGAAGCAATATCCTTTTAAATTATGTTAGCCAATGCCCTCTCTTTTATTTTAATTCTACTTTTATTTTAGATATAGGGGGTACATGTGCAGATTTGCTACGTGAATATATTGCATCCAGGTAGTGAACATAGTACCCAATAGGTAGTTTTTTAACCCGCACGCTTCTCCCTTCCTCCCTCCTCTAGTAGTCTGCAGTATCAGTTGTCCCCATGTTTACGTCCATATGTGCTCAATGTTTAGCTCTCACTTATAAAAGAGAATGTGCAGTATTTGGTTTTCTGTTCCTGCGTTAATTTGCTTAGGATAATGGCCTCCAGCTGCATCCATGTTGCTGCAAAGGAAATAGTTTCATTCTTTTTAAGGCTGTGTAGTATTCCGTGGTGTATATGTACCACATTTTCTTTATCCAATCCATTGTTGATGGGCACCTAGGTTGATGTGTGTCTTTGGTATTGTCAATAGTGCAGCAATAAACAGATGAGTACATGTGTCTTTTTGTTATAATAATCTATTTTCCTTTCGGTATATACCCAGTAATGGGATTGTTGGGTCAAATGGTAGCTCTGTTTTAAGTTCTTTGAGAAATCTCCAAACTGCTTTCCACAGTGAATGAACTAATTTACATTCCCACCAACAGTGTTATAAGCTTTCTTTTTTCTCCACAGCTTCACCAGCATCCGTTGTTTTTTGAGTTTTTAATAACAGACATTCTGACAGGTGTGAGATGGTACCTCATTGTGGTTTGATTTGCATTTCTCTGATGATTAGTGATGATGAGCATTTTTCATATGTTTGTTGGCTGCTTGTATGTCTTCTTTTGAGAAGTTTCTGTTTATGTCCTTTGCCCGCTTTTTAATGGGGTTATTTGTTTTATGCTCATTCAATTGTTTAAGTTCCTTATAGATTCTGGGTATTAGACCTTTGTTATGACTGAGTGCATATATACAGAATTCTTTTTTCTGTCATACTGCTGGCACATTCATATGTCCAGGATCCAACCACATTCCACCATCTGTACCATCTGCACCTTGGTCCAAGCCAGAACCATCTCTCTCCTGGATGAATGCACTTATGTCCCAAATGGCCTCCTTTTTCCTACACTTGCTCCTCTCCAATTTCTTCTCAACTCAGGAGCCCAAGGGATCCTTCAAAAATGTAAGTCAGATCATGTTATTCCAATGCTGAAACCCTAGACTGCCTCGCCTTATCACTCAGAGTAAAAGCCAAAGTCCTTACCATGGTCTGTATAGCCTAAAGCTTCTGGCCCCATAACCATGCTGGCCATTGCCCCAGCAGTGACTCCATGCTGGGGACACTGACCTCCTTGTTCTTTGCAGAAAATACCAGACCCACCCCTCCATGCACGGCAGGTCTCCTCCACAGAGTGCGTGTGGTGGACCTTCATCTCTTTCAGGTCTTCACTTAAATGTCGCCTTCTCAGCAAGCTCACCCTGACCCCTCTAGTTATACAAGTTCCCATCCCCGGCCCTACTCCTTATCCCCCTTCCCAGATCCATCTTTTAACAATTATTGTCTTCCAATACACCCGCTATAATATCCATGTGTTGGCCAGGCACGGTGGCTAACACCTGTAATCCCAGAGCTTTGGTAGGCTAAGGCAGGAGGATTGCTTGAGGATAGGAATTCAAGACTAGCCTTGTCAACATAATGAGAACCCCATCTCCACTACAAAAAAAAAAAAAAGTTAGCCAGGCATGGTGTCGTGCACCTGTAGTCTCAGCTACTCCGGAGGCTGAGGCAGGATTGCTTGAGTCAGGAGTTCTAGGATTCAGGGAGCCATGATCACACCACTACATTCCAGCCTGGGTGATGGAGTGAGATTTCATCTCTCTCTCTCTCTCTCTCTCTCTCTCTCTCTCTCTCTCTCTCTCTCTCTCTCTATATATATATATATATATATATATATATATATATGCTCTATATATGCTCTATATATACACTCTATATATGCTCTATATGCTATATATATGTGTGTGTATATGTATATTTATGTGTATGTGTATATATATACACACACACACACACACACGCATATGTGTACCCATTTTTATTGTCTGCCTCCACATACCTGAATCTAAGCTCCATAAACAAAGGATCCTAAGTGTTTTGATTGCTGCTTTATCCTTAGTGTCAAGTCAATGTCCAACATATTATAAATACTTGATAAATATTTGTCAAGTGAATAAATTAATGTTAAAAGCAAAGCATACTTTTACACATGGATAAATGGAACAGATGCTACAACTAAAATGACCACCATAGGTCAGGTAATTAAGAGGAGCTACCAAATATGATTGATTTAGAAGTCTAAAGACATAAAAATATGTCTGGTATGCTTGGGAATCTCAGTTTCAAGAATTGTATATGAGCCATTGTGTGCAACAGTCTGTCATACAAACGAGATAGGCTGTAAAAAATCCTTATCTGAGCTATTTTAAAAATGGGTTTTTAAATGAATATTTAAATATTAATATAGAATATGAATATTTGAAATTCATTATTTTTCATAAAATAGAGTTAATCTTAAGGCTGGCATAGTTTTCCAAACCTTTTGCCAGCTAGATTTGCAAAGCACTACCTCCAAAGCTCCAAACGTTTCATAAGCCACACTGGTCTAATTAATGGCTCTTTGTTTTTAGTAATTTATTTTCTTTTGCTTAAAGTTCTGAAGGATGGCTAGGTGATGCATGTAGTCAAACATCTTATTATTCTCAGGATTTCAATGGCTTTCCCTTCTCACTAAAGCATAAGCATGTTTTATATCATTAGTGAAAAAATGTTAATACCTTTAAACATGAAATTCAAGTATCATCGATAGAAATTCCAACTAAATTTCATCTAGCCTTGCTTTGCACCCAAAGTAACATACCTGGCCTGTCTCTCCAGCAAATGGCTGAGAGTCTAAGTCCAGCTTATTTCTATTTGTGTCTCTAGGTACTGGGGTTGGGGCTAGATATATGTCCTTTATGGAGTTTTAAAATTCAAGTTAGATTTCCTAACTCAGATTAAATTCGAGTTCTGGGCTTCTTAATTTTAAAAGGAAAACCATTCCAAATGATCCTTTTTTATATGCATGTGAGACAAAAAAAAAAGTAAACAGTGAAATAAAAATAAAACAAACAAAATGTTCCTTTGCCCTAGGAAACGCACAGCCTCTTCCATGGACGTCGTTGTCTACATGCACTCAGAATGGTCTTAGACATACTGCCTTAGGCTTCCTACAATACAGCTCTAGCAAAACTAGGCTGTCCCGAGCCCCTTGTAATAGAATTGACTACCTTTATCCCAAGAAGGTGTGGAAAACACCAAAACTCTGCATGTGGTGTGTGCCCAGGCAGACTTTGAGGGGTCCGTGCTGTGAGACCTAAAGTTCTTATGAGATTGTCCAAAACAAAAAAACATGTCAGCAGGGCCTGTGGTGGTTCCATGAGTGCTAAATGTGTTCAGGACAGGATCAAGCGTGCTTTCTTTATCGAGGAGCAGAAAATCATTGTGAAAGTGTTGACAGCATAAGCACTTCAAAAGTGTTGAAGCTGTGAAAGTGTTGAAGGCATAAGCTGGGCCCCACACATCCATTCTCCAGGTGAGGACCCTGAGACCAGGGAGGCTAAGCCCAAATTCATTTTCTAGTGAGTCTCAGACATGAGGCTGGAGCTCAAGTCTGTCTCACTCTACTGCCTACCTCTAAATCACTAGTTCTTATGTTTGCTTGGTTTTTTTTTTTTAAACGCTTTACTGACAAAAAGGTAAGTATTTGTGTTTCTAAAAAGATCAGGTGAGATTTACCCACTACCTACATTAAAAATGCAGTAAACGTCATGAATGATACAAAGAAATATACTCCAACTTGAACACCCCAGAAAACTGATAATAGGTTACACTGTGTCCCTCCCCTCCAGAAAAAGCCAAGTTGAACTCTTAACCCCCAGGGCCTCGTGATGTGAGCTTGTTTGCAGATGTAGTCAAGTTGACTGGAGGTCTTTAGACAGGTCCTAACCTAGTATGACTGATGTCCTTCCAAACAGAGGAGGTTGGAAACAGAGACACATCCAGGGGAGGGCTGTGTGAGGAGACACAGGGAGAAGGCCATGCGGCTGCAGGAGCAATGCTGCCCCAAGCCAAGGACTGACTGAGACCACCAGAAGCTGGAAGAGGCGAGGAGGGATTCTGCCCCGCAGAGTTCAGAGGGAGCACGGCCCTGCCAACACTCTCATCTGAGACTTCTGGCCTCCAGAGCTTTGAGACAGCCAATTTCTGCTGTTTTGAGCCTCCCTTTCTTGTGGTACTGTGTCACAGCAGCCCTGGGAAACAAATAACATAACATTGACCTGACCAACATTTATTAATATCCAGGTAAAGCGGGGCAAAGCTGCTGATCGTGGTGAAGCTGATTAAGGGTAATTTGACAACTTAAACTACTTAAAAGGAAACTGTCACCGTAGACTAACAGCAAAACCTGCTGACAAAAGAAAATAATCTCCACCTTTTGGGGCTCTTGATGCATCAGGATGCAAGTCTGTGGCTGGTCTCTGGGGTTTCTGACTTTCTCTAAAACCGAATGCTCTTGTTCTCTTTGATCCTCAGTTTTGCACCAGTAAATATTCCCGACTATTTAACTGGCACCGCCTTGCACTTGATCTTCCACCTTAACACGAGTCATGGTTGCTTTGGAGAGTAGACTCAGTGCAAGCAACAGGGTATGTGCTTGCCCTGGGGAGCAAAGAGAAAACAGCAGGAGAAAAGCCTCCAGGCTCCTGTGCTTCCCACCATGTCCAGAGGCTCCTCTCCCACCACCACCATGTCGCCAGGCTGCTCCCACCTGCCAATGGAGCCCAGCTGTCCCCCCAGGCATGTGTACACGTACAAGGCTGTTGCCAGCCCCGGAGAAAGAAGTCCAAAAAGGAAATGGAAGCAGTACGGAAAGGACCTGGGGTGTGATTCAGGCTGGGCCCCACACATCCATTTCCAGTGCCAGACCTGGGCCCTTGGACACCAAGACTGTAACACCCCAGCTGCTGCTGACTAGGATCAGAAGGGCCTTCAGCCTCCTTTCTGCCAAACAAAGAGAATATCAAAACGTTGAGGCAGGATCAGTATCATCAATAAATCATACGCTATTTCTATGTCTCCCCTGAAAACACAAATGGAACATTAAAACAGATTTTGGGCTGGGCGTGGTGGCTCACACCTGTAATCCCAGCACTTTGGGAGGCCAAGGTGGGTGGATAACGAGGTCAGGAGTTCAAGACCAGCCTGGCCAACATGGGCAAACCCGGTATCTACTAAAAATACAAAAAATTAGCCGGGTGTGGTGGCAGGTGCCTGTAATCCCAGCTACTCGGGAGGCTGAGGCAGGAGAATTGCTTGAACCCGGGAGGCAGAGCTTGCAGTGAGCCAAGACCACACCACTGCACTCCAGCTTGGGCAACAGAGAGAGACTCCGTCTCAAAAAAACAAAAACAAAAACAAACAACAACAACAACAACAAAAATAGATTTCAAAACCATTAGGGGAATTTGAAATGCTTCCCCTCTCTCCTGCTTATGAACCCTACCCACCTCACCTGGTCAGCCCGCTCTCCCCTTTTGCTTTTTCTTCTTCCTTTTCTTTCTCTCTTCATCTCACTTGCCTGCAGGTTCCCTTCTTGTAAGTGTGAGCAACTACAGACAATGTCAAAATAATTTAATTTCAAACCCAGGTACGTTAACATGAAACAGGGAGTAATGGTTATGTCTACATAATATCTGATATACGTCTAGTTACCCAGCAGTAGCAGATGCTGTTGGTCTGCAACTGGTTTGTCACGATGGATTAATTACCATCCTAAGCTCATTTTGCTAGTATTCTCAGCTACTAATATCAGGCTAATACTTAATTTATAAAAAGGTAAAACCAGCTGACAGGAATAATCAACACTGATCTCTAAAAAGTACTATATGAACCAATGTACAGAGTGAAGAGACAAAAAAATACACTTGCTATAACACTGCATTTATTTGCTTACTCTTTTTGTTTCCCTATACTCACCAAAAGCTACTTGACATGAGGTTTTCATTCATCAGTACAGTTTCTTCAACCAGCACATGTCTAGTACACAGTAAGCCTCAAAACTTATTCGGTTAATGAATGAATGCTAATAAGGTGGAGAAAAAAATCACTCCAAATTAATTAGTGGGAAGTGTAATTGCAGCTCTGGACACCAGAAATACTGATACAATGATAATAATATTTTAGGCTAAAGGGTTGTGCAGTAAAAAAATAATGTTTAAATATTTAGAGCAACCAATTCTAAATTGAGAACCTTTAGGCCATTAAAAAAAAAAAAGCAACTCAGGAAATTTTGTAACTGTTTTTCTAGTCTGTAAGTCTAAGTGAGGGAAGCTAAAGACAAACTTATATACATTACCCATGTTTTTCATGTTGAACATGAAGGTCAGGGATTTCAAAACACCTGCTTCATTATTTTCACAGCTAAATAACCAAAGCATCATTCTGTTTTCTAATGCAACTAAAAATTAATTGGAAATACATTAAACTAGACAATTGCTTTGAGCTGCTTAGTAGCAACACATACAAACTGAAACATTTCATCAGTCTCTGAAGTGGTAGATGATACTCTAACATACAATAAGAATGCACACTTTGTAAAGATGATATTACTTTTAAATAAGCCTATCCACAGGCAAAACAATTATTTTACATTGTTTTATTTACTACTCAATTAGCAAATAAAAACTATGTGGAAAATATTGAGGTTATAGGTATTTCATTATATATTAGAATTTTGTAAAAATAAAAAATTGGTATTCTACATTAATATTCCATCTTGATAGTTAATAGATTTTTAAAAGGCAGTATTGATAAGTTCATATAGTATTTTTCATTTCTGCTTTTTTGCAAAACCAAACCACAGCCTAAATGTACACTCTGAAGTCTACAGAGTTAGAGAAAAAGTGAATTTACATTTAAGAACAGAATATGCCACTGTTCTTTCTTGTGTTATCATGGATGCTTAACATTTGCTAGTGGAACAATAAGAGAGAGAAATGGGGGTGGGAGAAAGTGTGGGGGGGTTAGGGAGAGAGAGCGGGAGGACAGCAAGCTCTGTCAGTCAAGTACTATGGCAGTTCTAGACAGTTCCAAGGAAAAATCTCTGCTATCTCATATGTTAGCTTGATAGTCAGTCAGAGAATAATCTCAAGGTCATGTGAACCCTAACATTTTTGGAAGCAATTAATCTTACATTTTCTACTTTTACTAGATAAAATGTATTGCTTTGTTCATGTTGCCTTTCAGAAAAAAAGGTTGATTTTATTTAATAATCATTAGTTTACAGTATTATCTTCTAAGTTTTCTTCCAGAGACTGATCTACATACATTAAAAGAAGTTTTCTATGTCATTTAAATAACTGAATTAATAAGCTTGAACATTGCAAGTAGCTGTCGTTCAGTTAAAGCTTAATAAAAATTTTAAAATATTAAATAATACAGATTGCTAAAGCTATACCTTTTATATATTTCTGTTTGAACTCCTCCTTAACTACCGTGACTACAGAGCCTAAAAGTCAATGAATATGATTGATTAAATATAGGTTATAAGGAGAGTAAAATTTTAATGCAGTTATGACACTTGTGGTTCTTTAAATTAAAGCAACACACTCCCCTGAATTCCCAGGTTTCACCACACAAAATATTTAAAAAATAGCTAAATAATAGGTAGATAAATGCAATGAATTTTTGTACGCCAAAGAATGTACACAGACTACAGCCATGGAGATTTTTTTATATATTTGAAATACAGATATTTCTTATCACTGCTAGAGACAAATTATTTAGCAAGAAAAATTCACATATTTATCAGTAGATATAAAACCATATCACATGCAAAAACGTCGAAGCTAGAGGTAGCCCAAGAGAAGAAAATAAATCATTTGGTGCCATTTGAGCTGCAAAACCTGATTCAATTATGAGCCCAGGAGCAGAGCTGGAAGCCATTCTCTACCTCTTCCCAGACTAAGGATGATGCATGCTACTTCCCATGGCCCTTTCGTGTAACTGAGCCCTCACTAAACAGGGCTATCTCCTTTAAAGATGTGATACAATTTAGTGTGGTTGTTAGTTCAATTCTGGGACTCTCCTGAGCCAAGACTATCAATCACGCCAAACTGTGGAATTATTCATACAGTTCAGTATTCTGGACTGCTGCTCACAAGAGACTGAAGAGATACGATCAAGCTCATTTAATTTAGACTTGAGGCTGGACGTGAACCTCACTCCCTGTGGAACAGTACTATTTATCTATTGAACCACCCAATTCCTTAGGTTTTGTTGAAGTGGTTTCTGATGGAAGATTCTTTTAGGCTATTTTACATTAAAGAGGAAAGGGTTATAATATGAAAATTTAGTAATCTATATACAACAAGGGGTTCCTAAGTTTTAATACCTAGCTGCTGAAAGGCAAAAAAACTAGATGTAAATAGGTTCAGACTATTTCATGACCTACAATAGTGTGCTGTGTAATGTTTTTAAAGTTCCATTTTTCCTTTAGCACTGTCTTATAAGAAGAGACTGGGTTAGCAACTAAATAAATAATTTCTTACAATAAACGGAGGGAAGAGCTAATTTACTAGAAGATGAGTCTCTCTCTTTCATGACGGAGAGGTAGAGATAAAGGATCATTACCCCTGTCATTTCAGTTTCAGCTACGTAGGAACTATTGACATTTTTGTTTAAGGACAAATCTCATTTCTGTGCTTGAGAAATGCACAGAGCATTTCTCTCCTAAGATTCAGCAGCAGAAACCTGGAAAGCAGAAGGGAATTCTTGGAGGCACAAGCAAAGCTGATGGGTTAAGACCAGGAAAGCTATGTTGGCTGCTAGAGGAAGCTCCCAGCTCTCTTGCTAGTGCTCCCCTCCCCAGTAAGACTACAACGAGAGCAAAAAACTGAACAGACTGGCCCTTTTAAAAAACCATCAGCTGAAAGAAATACTGAATTGCCATCCCTGGAATGTTTGCACCCTGTAACTGATGAAATCTTTAAAATAAAAAGAAATTAAAACATAAACCGTTAAAGTATGCCCCCAGCTGAAAGACAAAACAGACTCTGCATGGCCAACTGAGGTGCTCAAAGTAAATACAGAAACAGGCAGCAATAGCTGTGAGAGGGAGTGGTCAGGTACTCTGTTCTCAGAAAGATGTTGTGGACGTATCACAGGACCTCCCTTTCTACAATGAAGCCAAACCAGTTCCTATGTTTGGTGATAAAACAGACTGTGGCTGAGAATCCCTCCCCGCCAACTGCTGTTTGAAAGAAATATCTGACAGAGAATTCTGGTTTGGGGCTTGGAGGCCAATCAATCAGAGCCTTCCTGCCTGTGTCAATCTGGGCTCAGCTGTATCAACCAATCAGGGCTCAGCTATATTGATCAGTCATAGCTCAGCTGTGCTGACCAATAAGAACTAAGCGAGTTTCAATCTTTCATTTGCATAAATAGACTTGATAGAAAACCTGGGAGGGAACTTTTGCTATAAAGCCCAAACCCTTTCTTTATTCTGTAGAACATCATTGCATTACAACAAAAGCTGTGTCTCCCCAGTTTGCAAACTGTTCACTGGAACAAAGTTGCTTTCCTCCTACTTCCTTTTCAGGGAACTTTCATTCATGAAACAAATAATACCCAACTTACAGGGAAAATACACACCCACAAACCATCTGTGTTACATACAAGATTCAATTTCACCTGAAGAGGGTAAAATCCTTCATCTCATATTCAGAGACAAATTAAACACTCCGTCTGTTTTAAATTTTTTATATTAATTAAAAGCTGTACTGCAGTCCCCAATCTTTGTTCACTTGTTTCACTAAGTGCTAGAACAAGCTTATTTTCATCAACTGGTTTATCTTGTCCACTCTGTCTAGGCTTTTCTTTTTAACTATTAGCCCTTTCTACACTGAAAGAGCTTTTTCAATGTTTATATTGAATTTTTCCCATATACATTTTACAAGTTTAAAATATCAGTTTGTATTGAATTCAGGAACAATTAGATATTTGTAGTATTTTTTCCTTTAATTCATTTACCAAGAAAAATAGACTTGAAAGGATTAATATGCTTTAAATACTGAAACAAATTTTGAATCATGAACGTATATCCAAAACCATATTTTAATTTGGAGATGAGAAGGCATGAAATTCACTGTACAAAATATGATCTGTTCAACTACTTTTATTATTAATTAATTTATTTATTTATTTATTGAGATGGAGTCTTGCTCTGTAGCCCAGGCTGGAGTGCAGTGGCATGATCTTGGCTCACTGCAAGCTCCGCCTCCCGGGTTCATGCCATTCTCCTGCCTCAGCCTCCCAAGTAGCTGGGAATACAGGCGCTCGCCACCACGCCCGGCTAATTTTTTTTTTCTTTTTTGTATTTTTAGTAGAGACGGGGTTTCACCGTGTTAGTCAGGATGGTCTCGATCTCCTGACCTCACGATCCACCCGTCTCGGCCTCCCAAAGTGCTGGGATTATAGGCGTGAGCCACCGTGCCCAGCCTGTTCGACTACTTTTAATAATTACTGCATCATATCAGTAAAAGTTAATACATAAAAATCAAAATGTTCAAAGAAAAAATGGAAACAAAAACTTAGAAAAAGATAATTTTTTTCACAAGGATTCATAATGTGATTTCTTAATTTTTTAAAAAACACTAAAAATTATTTAAAAACAGGTGTAAAATATGTACCATTGCAAAATCAAAACTTCTTTCAGGATCAAAGTTGCTCAGAGTTTTTATGTTTCATCTAATGCAATTTCCCTTAGAGACATTTGCCAGTCTTTCAGTTCCACATCCTAGGAGAGAGGCCCAGAAACCATGCAGACAGCATCTGTTAAAAGGCTAAAAATCTAAGCAGAAATTAAGACATTTTAGTACCTGGTAAACACCTGCCAGTTCAGCCCTCTTCAGAGCTGGGCCCTAGGAGTAAGAGAAATTGGAAATACAACAAACCCTCACAAAACTTAAATCACAGCCTCCAAGAATCTGACTTAGTTTCTGCCCTCACTCTATTTTTCACTCAAAAGTATGTATCACTGGGGAAATAAAATGTCATTAAATTTTTTCATACACAGTTTATTTATTTTCTTTTTAAAACTTGACACATAATATGTGTACCTATTTATCAGGCACTTGT